>NC_000010.11:55446125-55597640 GCF_000001405.40 Homo sapiens | reverse complement strand
TAGGACTATAATATCTGGGATACACACTTTTCAGAGAGGGATGCTTGAAGTATTATATAAGTATTAAGACAGAAATTTAGTTAACATATAAATAGGAGATTTTATTTGGTTGGAGAATATTGGGATTTTTTAGAAAATTACGTTAATCGAGGGGCTAGTGTTGGAGTGTTCATGGTTAAATTATGATTTTTAGGGTTCTGACTAGGTTCAATTTAAGTATCTTGTTTCTGGGGGTCGGCAAGGGTACCTCTTACCTAATTTAACAATAAAGTCAGAGATGGAGGGAGGGTGGATTTTCGGATTTAATCAGAAGTAGTCCTTTAAATTATGCGTGAACGTATCTGCGTGAACGTACGTGTGCGTGAACGTACGTATGTGCGTGAACGTACTTGTGTGCGTGAACGTGTATTGATTGTTATGCCCTTCAAGCATGAATGAATTAGCACCTTATGGTTGGGTATGTTGACTCAGAATATTCAAGATAAGTCCAGCCACAATCGATTCCGCAGGGATCAGGCTCCCGCCATGGTAAGTGGCAGCATCTCGAAAATTAAAAAATACGAAATGCATGACAATGCTCCCGTGACTAGTTATTAGGGTGATAGTCACTAGTACATTGAGATATAAGGTTTGCAAATATTTTCTCCCAGTTTGTAGGTTGTCTCTCCACCCTCCACCCTCCTGTTTCCTTTGCTCTGCACAAGCTTTATAGTTTTAAGTAATCCTGTTTATCTATTTTTGCCTTTATTGCCTCTGTTTTTGCTGTACAAACTAAATCCTCAAAAACCTGTATTATCATAGTTAAAAGATTTATTTTTATCATATTCCAAATAGTTTAAAATGCTTTTGTTTGTTTGTTTGACATAATGGCATCAGATATAACATGGCATAATGTCATACTATTACTCTTTCAATTAAAAATCAAAATGTAAAAATTATAATTTTTAAATATGGCAAAAACGTACATTAAAATACATTAAATGGTAAATAACAAACTGCTGTTAATCCCACATATAATCATGCCTTACTTTTTTAATACTTTGAATATTATAAAGTGATTTTCTATCTTTTATTATATTTTATAATAACCTATGGGATAGCTGGAGTAGATATTATTTTCTCTGCCTTGCATATGCCAAAAACGAGAGAGGGAGAGAAGTGAAGTGACTTTCCCTGTATTACAAAGACACAATGGTGCAGAGTTGAAACTTTACTCATTATTTGAAATACTTTACAATTTTTCTAAAATACAGTGAGATCTAGGGACTGAGTGTTATACTCAGCCCTGTTTGAAAATTTCTCAGGATATTGGTTCATCCTTTATTAAAACGAGCAAAGAAAAAAAAGTAGGATCAAATTAAGAAAAGCAGAATGTTTTGGTAGGATTAGGATCTCAAAATAATTATCTCAAAGCCAATAAAGTGTTACATTATTTTTCTTGCTTTATTTTTAATTTTATTATTTTTGCTGTGTCTATATGGTGGTGTAATAACCTGAGAAAGACGGTTCTAATCACACATGTACTAATCACAACCATGCAACATAATTTTAGAGTAAGATTTAACCAGGACGTAAATTTAAAAGTTCTTAAAAGTATTCAACTTCTGTGTCTATACTTAAGACTCCATCTCTAGGTGTCTGTTGATTATGCAAGTAGAATCAACAATAATTAATTTATCAACCTAATCTTTAAGCAGTGCAAACATTATTATTAGACGTTCTTAAATGGGCACTATAATATGTATCTTGACTGAGCTTACTTATTTCATAGAAGAATGGTATTTCTAAAATTATTTTAGAGATTTTTGATATTTAATCTCAAATGTTTAATATATTTTCCAAAATTATCAAATAAGGCTGAGCACTAGCATACTCTAATATTTACAGGAAAAATGTAAACAAAAACACTTGAATTTCTAGGTTCTTTAATAATCTTAACGCCAGGATGAATTCTCTAAGTCAGAAAAAATTGCCGTGACTTGGTACTAAGATCAGTATCAATTCAACCATTATTTCTTTAAAAAAATAACTTAAATAAAAGTTGCATTTACCATTTTGTGCAGTGGTTCTTAATCCTGGTTATTCCTCCATAGTTTTTAAAAATACTGATGTCTGGGTCCTTGGCCCAGTGATTCAGCATAAATTAGTCTGACATGTGGCTTTGTATCAGGAGCTTAAACAGTTTTCCAGTTTCTATTAATGTGCAGCTGAATTTGAGAACCACTGCTTTAGTCTTTTGAAATGAGGCCAGGTGTGCATATAAGGCCTTACTGTGTAAAGTTTTAAATTTGGGGGACATTTTGGTGGTATAAAGCTGGTTAATACAGATGAAGTTTAAAAGAAATAGACTCTCACCTACCAGATATACTAATACTTTGCAGAAATCAAGATCATTTTGAGATAATTAAAAAGAAGAGAAAAATAAACTTCCTAAATGTTGAATTTATAATTACATGTTCTACCTTTATCATACTATACCATTATGATTGATGGTTAGAATAAAATTTCAAAGAATCTGAAACTTATCGTAGCATACAAAATTATATTTGTATAGTTTTCATATTCAACATATTTCAGTGAATTTCAATGATTAAAAATTAATTATCCATGGGTGATAAATATGATTATTCTATTGCCAAGACTGTTACATTAAGTAAGGCAGCCAGTTCCCAACAGATCTAGAAATCAATGCTGCAATCTGAAGAAGGCTTTTAAAGTCAATATTCTTAGGTACATATGTAATTTTGTTACAGTCTCCATATTATTGCAGTTCAGTTCTACAGAAGACCTTTCTTGTCACATCACCAGTCCAGTGACACTGGTAGAGTGTATCAGGGGAAATTTGAATTGTCTTCTTAAATTTCCAAACCAAATAAGAGAGTGAATTGATTTATATTTCAACATCGAGTATGAAACACATTAGCAATTATGATCCATAGTAAAAATCCTGTTTTTATACAGTATAATTTACTGAGACTCACTTAAAATTCACATAACATTTGATTGAATTGGACAGTGTTTACAATTGTAATTTTTGCAACATTGGAAACGCCAAATGTGTTTGATTAAAATCAACTTCCTGCAGCCACACCTGTATAATATTTATGTCTCTAAATTACTATTTGTGGTAATTAGCAGTTTTTCCATTGCAATTAACCAACTTAAACTTCAAACATTGTCTAGACAGCCTAACTTTTTACTTTTTTCTTAGTTGAAATGTTTTAATTATATTTTACTTTGTGATTTTAGTTTTCCTTTCATCTTCTTGAAGTTTAACCTCAAAAAAATTTTGAGTTCTTATTTATTTGCATCAAACAACTCTAAAATGTAATACAAATTATTATCACTCTGTCTACATGGAGAAAACATTGTTAACACATCTGTGAATGACTTAATCATTATAACAATTAAGACATTTACACACACACACACATTTCTTGTAAAAAGAATGGTTAAAACTACCTGTACACTGGAAACATATTTTCACATAAATTTGCTCATTATTATTTGTACTTATATTGTGCAAATTATGTCAGTAGCTAGAATGACATGGATTTGACAAGAATAGAGAAAAAGTTGGTTTCATATCCCAGACTCTTAAAATACACTTTTCAGTTTAGGACACAAGCACTCTAAAGATATGTATGTAGTCCTCATGTCTGACATCTAATTCCTATGAGTTTCCTTCAATTAATACTAAATACATGTATAGAAATTGCCATAAACTGAGCTGTATGATGGTAATAATCCCCAAATGACAATTCAATCATCCAGATCTTTGGGTTGTCCTAATTCCATTATATGAGGTGGATCTAATGGTAATTAGATCCCTAGATATGAGGGATCCCTAGAAAAGTATTTTCTTAATCTTAGATAATAGTTTTCAATGCTTCGGTGAAAATTGTTTATGGAAGTCTTCTATTTTAATCAGTCTTTGAAAATGGCTCTTTCAATGGTTGATAAGATAAGTCATCACACAATACTTCTATACTGTTAAAAAAAAAGCTAAAACAGTAATTAATCTTAATATATTTTAGGTATTCAGTACCTCTTATTTCCAGATGTATACAATAAATTCCTTTTATATCTTAGAGCTAAAACCAGAGAAAAAATTGTCTCTCTCCATAAACCATGCACTCTCTTTTGTCAGATAAAGTGTAATTCGTCTTTATCTTCTCGGATATATTATGTGACTTTTAATTTTTATTGAAAAAATTGAACTTACTGATTTTTTCCTTGATACATAAATTATACATGTTCAGTGTCTATAGCATACATAAACAACAGTAAAATTTGTTAGAAACACCTATAATCTCAGCAAACAGAAAATTTAATTTTAGTGAAAATATTACCTAACAACATTTTCGTTTTCGGAAGTTTCAAAACTGTCTTGTTAGCATACATTTTGGAAAAGAAATTTTATTCTATCTTCTTTAATAACATACCAGTTTTTCTTTTATACGTATTTTGAACATATATTTGGGTCACTAAATGCTATTTTAAAAGCATGGATTTCATTTGTTAGTATTCCATAACTAGCAATTATAAAGTTGGACATTTAGATTTATTTCAGTTTTCAATATTCACTTCTAAAGAAAGGTTACAATGAATATTTCTGTAGTTAAATCTAACCACACATAGAAGATTATTTCTTTAGAATACACTTTAGAAGTAGTATTACGTTAAGGCATTTGACTTACACTTTTAAAATCTCTTTAGAAAATGTTCTGTTATTATAATGGTCTAGTTTTGTATGCCTTGTATTATAATTTGTATCAAATATATTTTTATATGCATGGTATATATAAGAAATGCAAATCTAATTAGATAAAGCAACAAATATATTACATAATTAAATAACAGTTTGACGTAGTTTTAAGTGTATTTTTGAAAAAATACTCTGCTAAATTCCTATCAAGTCAGCACCTAAACTAATTCTTGAAAAAGATCCAGAAAACAAAGGTCTCAAATTTCTAGATATTTTAGGTGTGCATTCAGGTTTCCAAAAGATAACTGATGTGGTAACTTGAGAAACATGGAATAAAGATTTGGGCACCCCACAGGGAAGCCACACAAGAATAGTCTAGAACCTCTCAGTTAGTAATAAAGGGACCCTGGTATCATTCCTAGTCCTATAGGGGAGAGGTAAATAATTTACTAAAATCCATAGACAGAGAAGCTTGTGAGGACAGAGCTGCCTGGCTGGATCTTTGAGTTTTGGTCAAGGAAATAGTTAATGCCAGCATTCCTAGAAGCAGGAGGGAGCCAGGAGTGTAACTACTTACCAAACCCTTCTCTCTTCCTCCAGTTCTTGTTCTTCTCTCTTCCTCCAGTCACTTGCTCCTGCTTTTTATTGGCTGAACCCCACTGACATCAGGCAGTAAGGGAGCCCTGGAAATAATACATTGTATATTTCAGCCTCCTGGGTGCACAGAGCAAGTTTGAGAAGAATAGAGATTGGACTTGCCAGGGCAAATGAAAAATACCGGCGCAATAAGAAATCTCTAAAGATATCTTCCTCCTTTTATTTTTTTCTCACGACTGACTGCATCTAGACAAGGGAATTCATTTTTCTACTAGAAATACGTTATGTATATTCATTTATGATTTTCACTCTAAGAGGTATTCTTTCAGTGAGATCTTGAAAATCCTTATCACTTTAATTTACATGTATAGAACTCAATGTCTATGAAAACAAGTGTAGCATGTATACATATATGTCATGTATATATAACGTATGTGTATTACACATCTAATACAGTATATCTTAGTATTTAATAATTTACGACTCTTCAAATAAATCAACATATAAACTAGAAGTATACATGCATTGCTTTTTAAAATTTTTTTGTTATGTATTATGTGACTGTTTACAATGGAAAAGGACACACAGTGCAGTTTGACAGCTGTGTGTCAAATGAAAGCTAAACATCCTGCTCCTAGCCAGGTTTTCCTGCCTATTCCTCCTTACTCCTCCCCTGATACTCAGACATCTTCAGGTGAGATTTTCACAGAAAAAGAAAGCAAAAGTTTGTCAAATAGGATATTCCTTTAAATCTTGAATTTTATTTTAATTAATTATGTTTAATTATTGACCCCTTGCTTTTTTCTTTACTGAAAAATGTGGATGATGACCACTTACCTTTTTTTTAAATACTGAAAAAGTTCTACCTATCATAACTTTATTTATTTATGTATTTATTTATGAGAGAGAGTCTCACTCCGTTACCCAGGCTGGAGTGCAGTGGCCTGATTTCCACTCACTGAAGCCTCCATCTCCTGGGCTCAAGCAAGCCTCCTACCTCAGCCTCCAGAGTAACTTAGGCTATCGGTGCACACCATTATGCTTGGCTAATTTTTTTGTAGTTTTGGTAGAGATGGGGTATTACTATGTTGTACAGGCTGTTCTCAAACTTCTGGACTCAGGAGCTGGGATGACAGGTGTGAGCCACCACACCAGGACTGCCTATCATAACCTTAAATATTTTATGAAGCAATGTATGTAGAGTGCCAAACAAGTAAATTGCTAAAATGAAAACTATCTCGGTGTTTTTGATAGAAGATAAATGTTATTATATAGTTGCTAGATAAGTTAAGGCAATGGAACCTCTTTGTGAGATTTTGTTTTATTTATTTTTTGATAATTGGGTTAGATTATATTAAATTTTAATGATAGGTACAAACTGAGCATTAAGAACACGTTTTTGGCTAACATTAACATTGATAATTCTCTTATTTCTTAGGAAATGAGTACATTAAACTTGCTTACTTCTATGTATAACAAAACCTCTTACTAGGAGTGCAGGAACTGTGTATATGTAGTGATTGTAGTTTTTAAAGAAAAAAGAAATAATTGGCATTGATGATATACCATATGACCAGATGCTGTATAATAAAGTGACTTACAATCTTAATTTGTCAGACAACACTAGAGAGTTTCAATTAAGTTTGAGGTTTTGGCCCACCTCTGAATTCCTTTGTAATATTTTATAAAGTAGCAAAAACTACAGACAAATATTTCTGCCATTAAGCAATCAGCATCCATCTGTTTTTGTCTTTTTACTACCAAGACAAGTTAACATGTGGCAGAAGCATATAAGTCTACAAAATTGAGATGAACTGTTAAGAACAGTATCATGATATTATTATTTTCTTTTTTTAAATTTTATTTTATTACTATTATACTTTAAGTTTTAGGGTGCATGTGAACAACATGCAGGTTAGTTACATATGTATACATGTGCCATGCTGGTGTGCTGCACCCATTAACTCGCCATTTAGCATTAGGTATATCTCCTAATGCTATCCCTCCCCCCTCCCCCACCCCACAACAGTCCCCAGAGTGTGATGTTCCCCTTCCTGTGTCCATGTGTTCTCATTGTTCAATTCCCACCTATGAGTGAGAACATGCGGTGTTTGGTTTTTTGTCCTTGTGATAGTTTACTGAGAATGATGATTTCCAGTTTCATCCATGTCCCTATAAAGGACATGAACTCATCCTTTTTTATGGCTGCATAGTATTCCATGGTGTATATGTGCCACATTTTCTTAATCCAGTCTATCATTGTTGGACATTTGGGTTGGTTCCAAGTCTTTGCTATTGTGAATAGTGCCACAATAAACATACGTGTGCATGTGTCTTTATAGCAGCATGATTTATAGTCCTTTGGGTATATACCCCGTAATGGGATGGCTGGGTCAAATGGTATTTCTAGTTCTAGATCCCTGAGGAATCGCCACACTGACTTCCACAATGGTTGAACTAGTTTACAGTCCCACCAACAGTGTAAAAGTGTTCCTATTTCCCCACATCCTCTCCAGCACCTGTTGTTTCCTGACTTTTTAATGATTGCCATTCTAACTGGTGTGAGATGGTATCTCATTGTGGTTTTGATTTGCATTTCTCTGATGGCCAGTGATGATGAGCATTTTTTCATGTGTTTTTTGGCTGCATAAATGTCTTCTTTTGAGAAGTGTCTGTTCATATCCTTCGCCCATTTTTTGATGGGGTTGTTTGTTTTTTCTTGTAAATTTGTTTGAGTTCATTGTAGATTCTGGATATTAGCCCTTTGTCAGATGAGTAGGTTGCGAAAATTTTCTCCCATTGTGTAGGTTGCCTGTTCACTCTGATGGTAGTTTCTTTTGCTGTGCAGAAGCTCTTTAGTTTAATTAGATCCCATTTGTCAATTTTGGCTTTTGTTGCCATTGCTTTTGGTGTTTTAGACATGAAGATCAATGGAACAGAACAGAGCCCTCAGAAATAACGCCGTATATCTATAACTACTGATCTTTGACAAACCTGAGAAAAACAAGCAATGGGGAAAGGATTCCCTATTTAATAAATGGTGCTGGGAAAACTGGCTAGCCATATGTAGAAAGTTGAAACTGGATCCCTTCCTTACACCTTATACAAAAATTAATTCAAGGTGGATTAAAGACTTAAACGTTAGACCTAAAACCATAAAAACCCTAGAAGAAAACCTAGGCATTACCATTCAGGACATAGGCATGAGATTTTGTAACTTTAATCCTTTCTTTCTTTTTTTTTTTTTTTTTTTTGACACGGAATTTTGCTCTTGCTGCCCAGGCTGAAGTGCATTGGTGGGATCTTGGCTCACTGCAACCTCCACCTCCTGGGTTCAAGCAATTCTCCTGCCTCAGCCTCCCGAGTAGCTGGGATTACAGGCATGTGGCACCACGCCAGGCTAATTTTGTATTTTTGGTAGAGATGGAGTTTCTCCATGTTGGTCAGGCTGGTCTCAAACTCCCAACCTCGGGTGATCCACCCACCTCGGCCTCCAAAAGTGCTAGGATTACAGGTGTGAGGTTCCTTGCCTTGCCTATTCCTTTATTTCGAACAGTTTTTCATAGTGTTGCTAGAGCAAAATTTTATATTCACCTTTTTGACTTCATTTTCTTCAAAATGTCCCAGTTTTTCTTAGTTTTACAATTTTTTTTTTCAGAAATGATAATAGAGCAAAGGTTTGGTAATACTAGAGGTTTTATTCTTTTTTCTCTTCTTTGATCTGTCTCAAATATTCTCACATGGCACATGATCATTATGACTCCCATCTTAATAAAATTATGAATTGACATTAAATTGTTATTGTCATACCAGAACTAAGACACACCATCTCATGGTCTTCTTGCATTTGTGCGAGCTTTCTTTATGTGTGTGGGGTTTCTTTTAATTGTTTCATTTTTGTTTTTATACAAACTACGATCCATATTGTATTTTGGCAAGCCATCTATAATACTTGGTAGCTTTGAATTAATGTCAGCTTTGAACAGTAAAAATTTTCAGAAGCAGGCAACTTGCAAACCTCACAAAGAAGTTTGTGGGTTTGGTACCATTCAGATAAGTAAAAGAGTCTTAGCTGCCAGCAACTTATTTTCTGGAATTCCTTATTGCTGTCTTTGCCATAAATATCTACCAGATAGGCAAAAAAGGTAGCCCCAGGTTTGCATTTGCTAATAAGGTGACAGAGGCCTATGACAAGTCAAGACCAAATAATGTAACACCTCCTACATCAAAGTTTTAAGCGCTTTAAAATAGAGGATCCAAGTTGCTTTGTCCATTAGAAAAGGTCAGCCCAGATTAATCCACCTTCCCACTCACACACTAGGTTATACCTGGCCATATGCTGTCGATTCAGCACTTGTACAAGTGTCAAAACCAAAGCGGTTCATTTGCTCTGCTTTCTTTCTTTTTCCCTCTTATTCTTTTTTTGATATGACTGACATTATTCTGGTTCAATTCAACAAACCTGTACTGAGCACCCACTGTTCAGATACTCTTTCAGACCCAGGCCTCAAGGAACTTGAAAGCTAACAAACGACCTCTTAACAAGAAATTCTTGAGGAAAACACTTAAAATAGTGTAAAAAATTTCAACTGTCAAGAAAGCATCTTTTCAAAGTAGATGGATCTAAATTATCTTTATATCAAACCACCATTGTAATATGTATTCTTTAAAGTTATTATATCTGAGAAGTCTCCTTTTTCTTTTAATCTTCACAAATGTTTTTTCTTTTGTTCACTCTAGAAGATTTTGATGTATTGGTTTTGAATGACCAGGATTATTTCAGAAGGATTAAACTAATAAAATATTATAGGCAACAAGAGCAGTGAGGTGGTGAGAGGCATGTAAAACTGTGAGACCATAGCATTTAATGGAAACACTCATAGAAGGGAGCTAAAAATATATATTTTTCCGTACCAGTGCCTACTTTTCTTACTAATAATACTGAACACAGCAAATTTGAACCCATTTAAATAATTAAAAAGCCTTATATATGAATATTGTCAACATTAATGTTGATTTTAAATAGAATGTAAACATAATTGAGAAGAATTTGCTTGACAAATCATACAAACTCCATCTTTACTATATTGAACATATTTATGTTGAAGTATTGTGATTATAAAAATGTTTATCTTGAATATATAATTTTCTTCTCTTGTATAACATGTATAATGTATGTAATACCATTCATATTAGTATGTTTCTTCCCTGTTAACAATACAAAAAAGGTACATATATGATTAAGTCTTTATCTTTGAGAGAACATTCAGAAAGCTTAAAAACAAATTTTAAGTGAAACACTAGCAAAACTTTGGCCTTTATTAAAATTGTACTTCTGTTCCCACTTTAACCTGGTTCTGTAGTTTAGATTCTGATTTTATTTGTCAAAAGGGATGCCTATGTACCCAATGCAAGTGACATAACATCCTTCATTCAATAGGAATACAAATGCATGAATAAATACACTTCTATTGCAAATAAAAATAGAAGGAGAGCAGATAATTATTGAGGTATAATTTTTTTGACCAAAGTACATCATTCTCTTGTCATAAGAGCAAAAATATATTTACCAATATAGCCTGTTAATAATGGGTATTTATAAATGCAGCCAACCATATTTTTAATCAACTTAAAACATACATTTGTTAGAACTTAAGCTTAGCTGCATAAATGAGAGTAATGAACTTAGTTACAGACTTTTTGGACACATTTGCCCCTTTATCTAATTAGAAAGATTAGTAATATTAACATTTAATGCTGCTTTATATTTTCAAAAGGATTAGTTCAGTAATGATTATAAATTTCCCTGGCATCTTTGCAATTATCACCAACCTCAAATTTATAGCTGAGGGAATTTTCAGAAGAAAGTTAAGTACTTGAAATAGATTTTGAATCCAATGGGTTTCAGTTACAAGACTGGCCTAGGCTAGTGCAAGGAACTGGTAGCTTGCATTTATTCTAGAAAAGAAGGCAAGGCATTTGGTCTTTAATCAAATTATTTAAAATAGAAATTACTTAAAATATTTAAAATAATATTATTATTTGAAATAATATTTGAATTATGGGGTTCGTAGTAAGTTAGATGAGAGTTTAAAAACCAGCTTTGCCACTTATGAGTCATATAATCTTGAGTGAGATACTTTGGCATCTGTTTCTATATCTATTAGGCAAGAATAATCATAGTACCTATGTCATGAGATTTCTGTTCAGATTTAATGAAATGACCCTTTTTGCCCAAGACTTAGAAAATAGAGAACATTTGTCAAATTTGAGTATTACTATTTGATGATGGTGATGATGATGATTTCCAAACAGATTAGGCTGAATTCATACACATAAGTGAGAGCTGGATAGAGTCTTTTACATTTAGACCAAAAATGTGGAGATTCATCCTATATAGAGACCCCATACGGTGAAAACAGCAGATTAAGATCAACAATTGCCTGGCAGAACAGTAGTTCTATGTATAATTTGACAAGCAAATTATCCTGAGTTGTGATGTTTCCATTCTATTTAAAATTAACAGAACAGTCTATCTCTCTCTCATATATATATACACACACACATATATATACACACACACATATATATATACACACACATATACACATACATACTTGAGATGTATGTATGTATACATATATATACACATACCTACTTGATATGGAGTTTCACTCTGATGACCAGGCTGGAGTGCATTGGCGCCATCTCGGCTCAATGCAACCTCCATCTCCTGGGATCAAGCGATTCTCCTGCCTCAGCCTCCAAGTAGCTGGGACTACAGGCGCCCGCCACCATGCCCCACTAATTTTTTGTGTTTTTAATAGAGATGGTTTTCACCATGTTGACCAGGCTAGTCTTGAACTCCTGACCTCAGGATCAGCCCTCCTTGGCCTCTCAAAATACTGGGATTACAGGCTTGAGCCAACGCGCCCGGCCAGAAAATTTATTTCTAGAGCAGTGAAGTGTTGTAACAGAAGTTTGGCATCTAATGAAAAAGTGTTTATAGTGTTCTGAATCTTTAAAAGAAGATATAGCTGAGAATTTGATTCCTGAAATGCCAGGGAAGCACTGATTTTCTTCAAGAACATTAGTCTCTGTTATCCATGTAATTTTTTACCCCCAGGAAGAGTGAACAAAACAATCCCCAGTAATCCCGTGAGGCTGTAGGATCATAATTTTTAGGTTATTTGCAAAGAGTTATTCTTCTTTACAGGAAGGAAGAAAAAAGGCTACAATAATTCCATAAATATACATATAAGGAATTAATTTTATATAGTATTAATAATATAGATTAATTTATAATTCTCCATTATCTGAATAGAATATGAAAAAATTTACTGAGCAAGAAGGGTTTACTTAACAAATTAATGATGTCAAAATTTTCCAGGGATTAAAAAAAAACTATATATTACTCAAATACTACTTTCAAGTGCCTATGATTTATTCATCTACATATAATTTATGTGCTAATACAATAATTACTTTTGTATTTATAGCCTAACATTTTACCAAGTTTAAAATCGATCCAACTGTGATCTTCAACAAAATCCTAATAATAAATATAAGATATTTATATCTATCTATATGTGTGTCTACATACTTGTATCTATTTTAGAGATGAGAAAGCTGAAGCCCTGGGATTTTAATTGATTTTTTTTTTTTTTTTTTTTTTTTGGAGACAGAGTCTTGCTCTGTCACCCAAGCTGGAGTGCAGTGGTGTGATCTCGGCTCATTGTGACCTCTGCTTCCCGGAGTTTAAGTAATTTTCCTGCCTCAGCCTCCCAAGTAGCTGGGACTACAGGCACCCACCACCACGCCTAGCTAATTTGTGTATTCTTAGTAGACAAGGGGTTTCACCATGTTGGCCAGGATGGTCTCGATCTCTTGACCTCGTGATCTGCCCAGGTCGGTCTCTCAACGTGCTGGGATTACAGGCTTAAGCCACCGTGCCTGGCCTAATTGATTTTTTTTTTTTAAGGAAACTTCCAGAATTAAAATTCCAATGCTGACACTTTTTTACATATACTATTTAGGCTTATGTGATTTTTCTCCCACTCATCTGGTGAGACTTGACTTTCAAGACATCTAGCAGATGTAAGATCAGGCAAACTTCATCTCTGAAAATAATAAAAAAGTATTTATTTTTAGAAAAAATGATTTAAGGTGGGTGCGGTGGAGCCCAGCACTTTGGGAGGCTGAAAGCAGGAAAGTTTTTGAGCACAAGAGTTATTGTCCAGCTTGGACAATATAGTGAGACCTCATATCTACAAAATATATTTTTTAAAAAATTAGCCAAGCACAGTGGCATGACCCTGTAGTCCCAGCTACTGGGGAGGCTGAGGTGGGAAGATCACTTCAGCCTGGGAGGTGGAGGCTGCAGTGAGCCAAGATCACGCCACTGCAATCCAGCCTGGGTGACAAAGCAAGACCCCGTCTGAAACAAACAAAAAAATTGTATATATATAAAATATTACTTTTCAAAATATATTTATTAAAATTTTCTGAATCTTTTTATATTATATGTTTTATAAAAGTGGTGAAAAGATTGCATTTATGTAACCGATATTGTGGAATTCTCTGTGTCAATAACATAACTGTTGGCCAGGCACAGTGGCTTACGCCTGTAATCCCAGCACTTTGGGAGGCCGAGATGGGTGGATCACCTGAGGTCAGGAGTTTGAGGCCAGCCTGGGCAACATGGCAAAACTCTGTCTCTACTAAAAATACAAAAATTAGCTGGGCATGGTGGTACATGCCTGTAATTCCAGCTACTAGGGGGGCTGAGGCAGGAAGTTCCCTTGAACCTGGGAGGCAGAGGTTGCAGTAAGCTGAGATCGTGCCACTGCACTGCAGCCTGGGCAACAGAGTGAGACCCTGTCTTAAACATAAATAAATAAATAAATAAATAAGATAGTGTTAAGATCCAACAGAACATACACTTACACAAAACAAGAAACATTATGGGTCATGTTATATTCTATTGAAGCTATATAAATTAATGGAATGAGTTAAAGATACAAACACTTTACACTTGCATAATTCTTCCTGTGAAAACTTTAATCTGTGGCCTCAATATTTTTATTTTACTATAATCATGTGATTAGTTTTAATGCCCATTGTACTCATTAGTTTGCACCGTGATTAATGTGCAAAATTATCAGAGTGAATGTTAAATTTTTATAATTCCATTTTAATCAGTCATGGAGATTCATGTTTTAATTAGAAGAGCACCGCATTTTATAATGAAGTAAAGATTGATGGTAGGAAAAATGTAAATAAATCTTGATGTTATGAAAGTGATGGTCAAAAATTTATGGAGAAGGAATTTGCTATCCATAGCTTAATTTATGACAATTTCATCATGATAACTTAATAAAAAGGATTTTAAATTCCTAATAATATTTTGTGAATATATTAATGGCAATTACGTATTTAAACTATCAAAATCTAACATCTGCATTTAATTTTCAATATGATTTTGGATCATTAGTGAAATATTCATCAATAACTCTTTCTGTTCATATCACATTAATAAAGTGACCATTTTGGGATAACTGCTGCCTATGGATTTAATTAATAAATTATTTATTCGAAGCCACATTTTCAAATGATTACAGATTTAAGAAGGATTTTTGTGGTTGGCTGACCTGTGGTTCCCTTTCTTATTAAGGCTAGGTTCATCAAATATAGCAAAAAAAAAAAAATATATATATATATATATATATATATATATATACACATACACATACAGAATAGCCAGTTTGAATTTCAGATCAACCACTATTTTTTTAGGGAGATATTTATATGGCCCTATATTTTATCTGCCAACATAGACATATGCAAGGTAAGGCACATAATAATCCCAATTCCTTTTTACTCTTCTGGTCTAAAAATTGTATCTGATTACATTAAGAAATGTGCATATAGACCTTTCTTTTATAACTCAAGAAGAAAGGAGCAGTTTCTGTTGGGGAAGGCGATCCTAGGAATGCTCAGGAGGATAAATTGCATGGTAGATTATTTTCTCAGCACTTTTAGGATTAAAGAAAGACAAGCAAGGGCCACTATTTAGAAACTGTTGCTCATGGATGACTGGATGAGCTTCTCAGCAGGGATGAGACTTTATGAGATTCTAGATTGGTTGCACAGTACAGCACGGCTTTGAGGAGGAAGCCATTCTTGCACCTGTGGGTGGAACCCGGACACTTTCTCAGGCACCACTGGGATGAGAAGTGGTGGAGGCCTCCGTGTCCACACGATTAGCATAGGCACAGGACAGAGAATGCTTTTTAAAGGTAGTGATCAGGATTCCCCAATTACATTCCACCATTACATGGTGGCATATAATCGCAGGTCCTTGGTAGGCTGAGGCAGGAGAATTGTTTGAACCCAGGAGTCGGAAGTTGCAGTGAGCCGAGATTGTGCCACTGCACTCCAGCCTGGGTGACAGAGCAAGAATCGGTTCCCCATGCCTCCTTCCAAAAAAAAATTGCCCACATGTGTAACAGTGTGTGTGTGCACGCATGTATGTGTGTGTTAGACTTTAGTGGATTTCTTATTTAATTACTGGACCTTCAGTCTTTTTATGCAGAAGTCCATATACCAGGTCCTTCAGACAGTTGTCTAATAAATGTCTTCTACTTTTATCTTTTATTAATATACCTTAATACATCAAGGAACTAAAATTAAGTTTTAATTTTCAGAGATTTTAAATTGACTCATAATCATTTCACGTATTTTTGGGATATATGTGATGCAGTCCACTATTGAAAATATTTGCACTTATGTGCAGAAAAGAAAAGCAACATGCTAAGATAGAAGCAAAATTTACATTTAAAAAAAACAGAGCAAATAGACCTCCTTCATACTTAGGTAGTCAGCAGTTGAAATGCATTTATAACTGGATATCTATTTAGATTGAAAATTAAACATTTTCAATGTTTCAATGAAAATTAAACATTTTCAATCTAAATAGATATCCAGTTATAAATGCATATTTTTCTGAATATTAGCATTTTCTGTTATATATTTTATTTATTTTCTATTTTTGCTATTACTTAGTTCAAAAATTAGTTTAGTTTTGGAAATATTTTGTCCTTGATTATTTCACACAGTACCAAGTCATAAACTAAACATTTAAAAAAGTCTCCTGTATGTTTACTTTCCTAAAAGCACTGCTGACTCTATATATGGCCATAGGGTAAAGATTCAATGACAATTAGGCAAAAATGCGTATTATGTACATTCAAAATATTGTATAAAATTTTAGTACATTTTTGGATTCCAAAGGAATCACTGACTCCTGATTAAGTTGCATCTTCAGAGAATTGGATAAGCAACGTATCTCATTGTGGTTTTCACATAGAGGAAAAGGAAAAAGGGGGAGAACTATTTCCTCTTTCTTGATGGAAATTTGAGTTTTCCATCTGTGATGGTTCATGAACTTCAACAATGTATGGCCTATACTAAATCAGCCACCAGCTTCCAGTACAACATTCCTCAGGACAATAGCCTGTGAAGATGCAGTCTGATGCTGAATAGAAGAACATCGGCTAGAGGCAATGGAAGGTGGTGAGAAATGAGCCATTTTTCCTATTAGATTAGAAATAGATTTTGTTTCATAGATGTGTATGAACACTTGAGGATTTTTCAGGTAAAAGCCATCGTAATGGCCGGGCGCTGTGGCTCATGCCTGTAATCCCAGCACTTTGGGAGGCCGAGGTGGGCAGATCATCTGAGGTCAGGCGTTTGAGACCAGACCAGCCTGGCCAACATGGCAAACCCCCGTCTCTACTAAAAATACAAAAATTAGCTGTGCATGGTGGTGGGCACCTGTAATCCCAGCTGCTCGAGAGGCTGAGGCAGGAGAATTGCTTGAACCCAGGAGGCAGAGGTTGCAGTGAGCCGAGATCATGTCACTTAACTCCAGCCTGGGCAACAGAATGAGACTTCGTCTCAAAAAAAAAAAAAAATAAAAAAATAAAAAAAATGAAGAAGCCATATAGCCATATATTTAGAAGCCATTGGATATGGGTGAGTTATATGAATAATGAATACACAGAAAAACATATAGGTCTTAAAACATAGTGTGTAGTGAAAATAGTTAAGAAAATGAAGTATATAACAAAATGTTATTTATATAAATTCACGTGTGTGCATATAAAACAACAATATGTGGCCGGGCACAGTGGCTCACGCCTGTAATCCCAGCACTTTGGGAGGCCGAGGCGGGTGGATCACCTGAGGTCAGGTGTTGGAGACCAGCTTGGCCTACATGCTGAAACCCTGTCTCTACTAAAAATACAAAAGTTAGCCAGGCGTGGTGGCAGGTGCCTATAATCCCAGCTACTCGGGAGGTTTAGGCATGAGAATTGCTTGAACCCAGGAGGCAGAGGTTGCAGTGAGCTGAGATTGCGCCATTGCACTCCAGCCTGGACAACAAGAGCGAAACTCTTTCTCAAAAACAAAAAACAAAAAACAAAAACAACAAAAAACAAATAAAAAACATAACAAACAAAAAAACCAAAAAATCCCAATACGTTGCTCAAGTAATCTATGAGTGAATGGATGAATAAGAGTGGAGGGTGAGGGCAAAGGGACATTGGTTAATATTGATTACAATTCCTAGCATAATGTTTGCTGCCATGATCATAAATATTTTTGACATCTTTTTTTTCTGAGATCTTAATCATCCAGTAATATTAGCTACATATATTTTTGCTTCCTTCCATAATACCTAATTTTGCCACTTCATACAACAAAGTTGCTTAGAAAAAACATAAGACAGTGTCTAGTTAGAATCTTGAGGAACAGAAAGTCACTTAAAGAAATCATATAAAAATTTTAGCTAAGGACAGTTACAGAGATGAGTAGTTAAGGACAGTTACAGAGATGAGTTGTACAAGTAGGTGATCCAAGGGAGAGTATGGAACTAATCAGGAATTACTCCCTGAAGGAGCTGATGTTTGAAGCGTTACACTAATAATGCTTTTGAAATCATTTAAAAACCCTCACTTCTATGATAATTGTGTCATCTAGCTACTGAAACGTCTAAAGTACATTTATAGTACTTTTATATTGTTACTCATCTAAAAGTATTTCGAATTGGAGATTTGTGATAGTAATACAATCAGATATTTCTGTGTAATTTACTGTTTCTTTTGAAATTCTAAATTCAGTAACTATAGTTCACATATGCTATATAAAAAATTGTTATTAAATTAACAAGTATTAACAATTCTCTTTTGTTCCAAAACCACAAAAGTTTGAAAAAATAAACATGCTTAAAATGGAGAACTAACATCAAGAGCTTGTGCATATTCTTCTATTTTCACATTGATAAGGTTTGGCTGTGTCTCCACCCAAATCTCATCTTGAATTGTAGCTCCCATAAATCCCACATGCTATGGGAGGGAACCCGTGGGAGGTAATTGAATCATAGGGGGGTGGATCTTCCCCCTGCTGTTCTCATGATAGTGAATAAGTCTCACGAGATCTGATGGTTTTATAAATGAGAATTCCCCTGCACACTATCTTTTTTGCCTGCCACCATGTTAGATGTGACTTTGCTCCCCCTTCCCCTTCCAACATGATTGTGAGGACTCCCCAGCCATGTGGAATTGTGAGTCAATTAGACCTCTTTCCTTTATAAATTACCCAGTCTCGAGTATATCTTTATTAGCAGTGTGAGAACGAACTAATACACACATTGAATTAAAACTAAAATCAACGTCAATGAAAGTGCGGTTGGTATAATTCAGCTAAATATAATGAATGACACATTGGGAATTATCACTTTAAAATACTGTGTTTCAGGCCGGGCGCAGTGGCTTATGCCTGTAATCCCAGCACTTTGGAAGGCGGAGGCGGGCGCATCGTGAGGTCAGCAGATCGAGACCATCCTGGCTAACATGGTGAAACCCCATCTCTACTAAAAATACAAAAACAATTAGCCAGGCTTGGTGGCAGGCGCCTGTAATCCCAGCTACTCAGGAGGCTGAGGCAGGAGAATCACTTGAACCCAGGAGGTGGAGATTGCAGTGAGCTGAATTCGCGCCACTGCACTTCAGCCTGGGTGATAGAGTGAGACTCCGTCTCAAAAAAATAATAAAATAAAATAAAATAAGATAAATAAAATAAAATATAAAATAATCCTGTGTTTCAGTTAATTTGAACTTTCAACCTGGCTTAATTAGACAAAGAGGCAATTTAAAACATTCAGAAGTATTTGTAATTTTTTTAAAGCCATGGGTATATTAACCTTACCTGTTTTGGTTCTTAAGGTTAAACAAATTTTAGAAACTTTTAGAAATTTTTCACTTTCAATTGTTATGGTTAAATCCAGGGACTGGAAAAGTAACAGTTGCTCTCTCTCTCTCTCTCCTAACTTTAACCTTTCTTAATTAAAAGATGGACGTTTTAAAAGTTAAATTTCTCCTTTCTGAAGGGTTCAGAAATTCAAATCATTTAATTTACTACTGTGAAAAGATTCATTATGATTCTTATTTTTTTATATAAAAGATGTCAGCAAATTAACAACTGAATTCACATTTAAGAATGCTGTTAGCCATAGGTTGTGTGGATTGATCACCAAGGTGAATTTAACATTAGACTTTATCTCCAAAATTAATTTCTGTTGAAACCAGTGTTAACTGACTCTTTTCAATTTTCAATATATTTTATTTTTTGTCTTTTACCAGGAATATGGTGGTTACCCATAAGAACAGTGTTTTTCGTTTTTATATAAAACAATGCCATAAAAAGTCTTCAAAATAGTTACTGATAATAATTTACATGATTTTAAGTAAACTAATAAGTTCTGGAGGGTAGGGCTGGAATAAATAGTTGTAGTATAAATACATAGTTGACTTAAAATAATTATTCTTTCTTTTTCTTCAGGTATCTCCACAGAATTTAGTATAATATTAAAATTGACATTAGTTATATAACAACTGCATAAATGTAAAGATCTAAAAATTTTTCTAAACCTTTATATGTTTGTGTATGTACAAATAAAATCTGAAAATAAATTTTGGCCAAGTTTAAATATGAATTCAAATCACTTCTCTTTTGTTTCCTTTTTGTTTTGTTTTGAGATGGAGTCACTCTGTCACCCAGGCTAGAGTGCAGTGGTGCAATCTTGGCTCACTGCAACCTCTGCACCCCTGGGTTCAAATAATTTTTCTGCCTCAGCCTCCCGAGTAGCTGGGACTACAGGCGTGCAACACCAGGCCCAGCTAATTTTTGTATTTTTAGCAGAGACAGGGTTTCACCATATTGGCCATGCTGGTCTCAAACTCCTGACCTTGTGATCCACCTGCCTCAGCCTCCCAAAGTGCTGGGATTACAGGCATGAGTCACCATGCCTGGCCTCAAAACACTTCTTAAACAATTTTGAATTTTTGTAGTAAAATATATTATACTTCAAAGCATGTACCCACATACATAGTTTGACATTACAATGAATTTGAGAAATTATTTTTGTTTTGGAGATGAGATGCAAATAACTCATGTTTTAATAGAATTTTAGTTAAACAGGTAAATATTATTGCTTTCACTATTTTGTCCAACTCTATGTTTTCATTTTAGGCATTTTTTTTTTAGATATCTGTTATTTTGGTTTTGGTATATAAATGAAAGTTTATTACAAAATTCATTTAATCATCAAGCACATCTACTTTTTTCTAATGGTTCATATTGATTTGAAACTAAAAACATTTTGTGGATGGATGAAATTTATTAATCTTGCTACAAATCCTTCAGAAAATTTGACCATTACCCCATTTGGGAGTATTCATTTCCATGTAGCATTACATCAAACATGCAACACACATTATCCTTATCACAAAGTGTAATACAGTTGACCCTTAAACAATACGAGTTCAAACTGAATGAGTCTACTTATGTGTGGATTTTCTTTCACCTCTGCCACCCATGAAACAGAAAGACCAGCCCTTCCTCTTTCTCCTCAGCCTGCTCAGTGTGAAGATGACAAGGGCGAAGACCCTTATGATGATCCACTTACACTTAATTATCAGCACATACATTATTCTCTTCCTTATGATTTACTTAGTAACATTTTCTAACCTTTAATAATATGGTATATATTAATAATACATATGATATGAAAAATATTTGTTAATTCACTATGTTATCACCGACTTCCAGTCAACTATTATCTATTAACTGCTAGTAGCAGTTAAATTTCGGGGGAGTCAAAAGTTATATGCAAATTTTGGACTGCACAATAGGCAGCAACCCCCACGTTGTTCAAGAGTCAACTGAATATTCAACTCAAATAAACTAAGAGTATTCAGTGAGGTGGTGAATAGAGTGAAAGTGAACGGTTCATCGTGAAGCATACCACACGTGGATGCCCCATTCTAGAGCATGTTAATTGGTAAAGATGTGAATACAACTATCAAAGCAAGCCTCCTCTCAGAGAGTATCTAACTTTATTTGGTTTTGTTCTTTCTGAATGAATGACCTTTTCTAAGTACCTTGAAGAAGTAAGGCTGATATTCAAGTGTGGTATTTCATTGCTAGTCCAAAGGGAATTGTTCGTGAATTTCCTCCAAGTGTCTAACAGTATTAAAGTGCAATGTGTTTTTGGTACTTTCAGAAAATGACAATAGCATCTTGGAGAGGAATGCACTGCGGACATGCACATTTGACAACTAAATAGTAAGTGGCAATTACCACTTATAAAATGTTAACATTTGTTGATAATTTAGCTTTTCAATTAGAAATAAATCTACTCTGAAAGACTAGTCTTTTATAGACACTTCGTTACAAACTAAGGACATAAGTTTTCTCTAAAAATTATTTTTTGTTGTTTTCCAGTATGGGGTTGAATTAATGGTATCATTTGGCTACCAAGTCTATTGTCCCCACCTCAAACATTGGAAAATAGACTTTTGAAAAAACATACACTTTTATTTGGCAAAATTTTATGTGTTGGGTATTTTCTGGCAATAACTGAATCTGCACGGTTTTCTATGAAAACATTATTTGTCTTTTTTTACCTCTGATTGTAAGGATGGGCCTTAAGTCCTTATAAGATTACAAATTTGACATATTAACCAAAAACTGGAAGTATTCTGGAAATGTCAAATTTGGACCAATGTGACTATAACACTTTTATATATTAATAAGTGGGAAGTTACAGAAATCAATATTACTAAACTGATTCAGATCATGTGTTATAGATGGAGGTTAACTGCTTCCACTGCAATCCTTAGGACCAGAGGTCAAATAAGAGAGCCAAGGAAGAGCTCTGATTTTTGTGAGTAAAAGCTCTGAGTTGAAATAATTTGAAGGAATTATACACTTTATTACTACTTTGCTTCCTATTTGAAAGTATATATAGAGATAACTATGTTGAAAATAATCATACATTTTCTAGGTTCAACCATCAAGAGATGTTACTAAAAGTCTATTATTAATGAGGTCCTATAAAGGGAGCCAGAAATATAACAATAAGAAGATAGATAAACTATTATCCTCCCCAGGTTTCCTTAGTATAATATCCACCCTCATAGAGTTTTCAGGTTCTTGCAGCAGCTGCATTTGACTCAGGGACATAAAATCTTTATTGTCTATTATATTGTTGGTTCTGTCAAAAATACTATCACCATATTTTTCTTTCTTTTCTCATTAAAAGTATAGAGTTTTACAGTTTGTGATAATTGGCACCCTGAAACTAAGGTGTGACTTGATTCCAAGTTTAAAAATTTTATATATTTGCTGTCCACTAGTAGATTTCAGATTATAAAGGGGAAAATAAAATATTCCCCACTGCCTACCTACATTATCCTTCATGTTGCCAATAGCAGGAGGCTTGGAAAGCAATACTCTGACATTGTTTTGTGATATTCATTGATAGTTCTAAAGTTGATTGCCTACTCTGTGAAAGGAAGGCTCTAAGAGGGAAGAGGTTAGGATACTAAGATCTATGTCCTGGTCTCTAGAAATTGTGGTACAGAAACATCTTTTCCCATGCTCTGCTCCATGGAATAGTGTTTCAAGGACATAGAAATATGTTCATTCAGAGAAACCTACGAATTACCACTATTTCATTGTCATATTGTATATATGGTATGTCAGACTCAAAAAAGTTCTGTAATAGAGAAAACTATCCAGTTATAACTTGCTAAAACTCATGACTAAGGAATCATTTGACAGTGCACACATTAACATTTAAAGACCAAAGAATGTTGATTGGGTCTTAGAGTGAAAATGTTGGATGAATATATTGGCTCTGAAAGCAGTTGTTTCATTCTTCATTGTGGTTTTTTTGTGACAATAAAACCAAGAATAAATTTCAAATTTTACAGAAATATTATGTTATATTAATAAGGATACCACACTATGACCTAGCATGTTTTTCATTTAATGGTGGTAACATGAATATTAGCTTATATATTAATATATTTAAAAGAAACGTTATAATAATATACAATAAATAAAGCAATGTTACAAATCATTGCTTTCAGATAAGAAATGGAAACATCATAGACCATACATTGTTTTACACAGAAAATGGGTCAGACTTTGAGTCTAGCAGGATATGCCATCAAATAAAAACACATCAAAACAGTAAGCATACCTTATTGGCTTAGTGTGAAGTATATGCTGAGTTATTACATAATTTGATATTGAATCTGAAAATTATTACTAATTCGAATTTTCTTTTGATAAACAGTTAAAATGTCAAAAGCTTTGAAATAGACTTTTACATTTGATTATTTTCAAATATAGCAGCTTTTCAATGAGATCATAAAATTTGATGGAATCTGTGTTGTTGCAAATGACAGAATTCCCTAATATACAATAAAGAAATGTAGTAGAATTATTGAAAACTTGTAATTATTTCAAACTTCCGTTTAAACTACAATGTTGAGAGAAGAAGTTTCAAGAAGCTTCATCTTGAAAGACAGATCCTGGTATCTAACTTTCTTCCCAACTGAATATTTTTTCAGGAAGTGGCTGCTGGAATATAAGGGACTAGAACTGTTAGATGGTCCATCAATTTCTTTCAAGTACAGCTATACTGCCAGTTGGCAGTTGAACATTCCTCACATCTAATTACATTTACCTTTGTTGCTTTAACATTTTTAGAATTTTTGTCATCTAATTTTCTCAGCTCCTTTTCACTTACAAAGAAGTAATATTAGAGAAACTCATTACATCTGCAGCTGCAAACTAATGCTTTCAAATGTATTCCCTTGGTGTTATCATAGCACTACATATCTTGAAACAGGTGTTTTCCACTTATGCCTCTTTAATGATCCATTCTTCTTGTCACATTGTCTAATAGAGTAAATATAACATCATAATTACTAAAATTTTAAGAATCAATTCACTGCAAACAGATCAGTGTATTTGTTCTAGTGACCTCTCTGAGATAATTTTCTACCATGCATTGCTTCTTTGCTTCAGCCATACTAGTCATCTTGCTGCTCTTCGGGTACCCCAAACCACATCAAGTTAGACCTTTTCAATTTCATTATTGCACTTTACACGAACACTCTGTTCCCTAATGATCAGCATGCCTTTTACCTTGATTTCATTCAGCTCTCTGCTGAAATGAAACCTTCACAGAGAGACCTGTTTTCTCATAGCATCTGAAATATTGCCCTCAACACCTGCACCACCATTTCCTTCCTTACGTGATTTATATTTCATCACAACCAAAATCCGTACATGACATATTCTGTATTTGCTTGTTTCCTCGTTTATTGTTTATCTCTCCTCACTTACTCCTCATGGACTGTAAATTCCAAGATAGCATAATTGTATGTGTTTTGATCATTGCATTTCTTCAGTGCTTAGAAGAGTGCTTGGCATAATGAAGGCAGTAAATAATTTTTAATAATTAATATTTAAAAATTATAATATATTAATATACTAGCTAGGTGGTTTATATTGCATAAAGTCCTATTTTCTAAATCCTTGTATTAGTTTCAGAACTAAAAACAAGTGTGAAGGAGACAGAATGTATTGGAGCTTTTTGAATATTCACTATACTTTATATACTCTAATATAAATTACTTTCATTTTATATTAAATATCATAAGTCAGTCCTTTTATGAATATTACTTTAAATAATTCTGGGGTACCTGTATCCAAAAAGAAACCAGAAAACTTCTCTAAACATTACTGTATGGGCTCTAAAAATATCAGCAGTTTTATTTTGCTGATCTCAAAAGCAGTTTCCCAAGGTGGAAAACTGCTCTAAAGAGAGCACAGAGCCAAGTATTTGTCTGATAATCATTCCTTGGGAATATTTTACAACTTCATAAAATATTGAAAACAATTAAAATGATATTTTTGTTACAATCAGAATTATTTGAAGGAAGTTTATAGCAAGACACGTGGCATATAAAAAATATCCTAGCAGACTTATGTCATTCTTGGTTCCTTACACACTTTTATTGCTTTGCAAAGATACAGTGCATACGATGATAAAGTATAAATTTCAAGAATCTAAGGCAAGTTGGCATACTTAATCTCAGGCTTGTATAAACTGGAATATCTTTGTCCAATTCCCTACTATCTTTCTCACTATCTTAGTGTTTATTTGTAGCTCATTCTCCCTAAATTTATATTTCAGATTATGCAGTTGTCTCATATGTGTGATTTTAATCTAAGCAAAGTCAATGTAATACTTGAAATACAATTATTATATTTTTACCTAATAACAGATTTTGAAAGATTAGTTACTAATTTGAAGAGATTTGTTCTAGTTGCCACCTTATCTGTGGTTCCTATGGTACACATTGATGTGTAATGAAGGAGTTCTTCACTGTGGAATTCTTAAATTATTACCTATTAATAATGATATTTACTTATTACTTTTTTCATATTTAAGCTATATGTTTTGTATTTGTATGAGAACTAATGTGCTCATAAAGCCATTCACATTTCTTTCCATTAAAAATATTGTGTTAGTCCATTTGAGTTTCTGTAAGGAATACCTGAGACTGCATAATTTATAAAGATAAGGGGTTTATTTAGCTCACAGTTCTACAGGCTGTATAAGAAATATAGTGCCAGTATCTGCTCCTGGTGAGGCCTCAGGAAACTTCCAATCATGGTGAAAGGCAAAGTGGGAGCCTGTGCATCACATGGCAAAAGAGAGAGCAAGAGAGTGAGTGGTGAAGTGTCAGGCCCTTTAAAAACCAACTCTCACATGAACTCATTACTGCAGGGAAGGCACGAAGGTATTCATGAGGGAGCCACCTGCCATGATCCAAACACCTCCCAACAGGACCCACCTTCAACGGACCTGGGGATCACAGTTCAACATGAGATTTGGAGGGGAGAAAACATCCAAACTATATTCTATATTTAGGGAATTTTGCTTTTGATATTGCTTTTATGATAGTGGCCTTAAAAAAGTTTTAACATGGGGAACAACTAAAAGTAATGATTATTGCCTTTGCTAATGCCAAGCTAAACAGACGATAACACTTGAAAGAAGAAATAGTGTATAACAGCTAATAAGGAAGTAGTGATAATAAGTCTGTTTTCAGAAGGTCAGGCTTTTCATTAAGTCTGGATGGAAATCAATAGCATTTGAAAACATTTTCCACTTTGCCTTTATGTATATAGGCAAAGATATGATAAATATCTCATAGTAAATCCTGCAGTATAGTATAAATCACTGCATTCATAGAATAAGTAAATATATATTACTTTATACAAGAAGACATTCTTAAAAGTCATATATAAATCAGATTTTATGCTCTTTGAATATCAAGCCATATTTCTCATTGACTGACACTGTAATTTCAGAGATGTGTTCTCAAAGAAAAAAAATTGGTTCCTGAGCTTCAAAATTTCATATCAGAAAGCAGCAAACTTCTTTCTAACTTAAATTTAAAAATAAATGAATATTTTAGTAATAAATTATTTCTATTAATACTTAAGTGAAAAACTATGCCTACAATCATCCAGTGTTGTATTAGACACTTATGAAGACTAGCTCTAAAATGTGAACAGGGTTGTCTTTTATAAAATATTTTTCTCTGTAAAAATTGTCAAAAACCTCTTAATAATGTTTGTCTTTCTACTTCTTGTTGGCTGTATTTGTTCACCTGCCAGGTCTTTTCTAAACATGACTATTACAGACGATAAAGCTGTCAAAAAATGCAACATGAAATTCTAGTATTTTTAAGAAACAAAGAGAAGCTATTTATAAAAATGCAATGTTGGTGTAAACAATTCAACTAACTGTAAGAATTTAAGATGAAAGCTCTTCTTACTATCCCATGTTTGAGAAAAAAAAGCTCTATTTTGCCCCAATTTAAGGCACAAATATGCTTTTTGGATTTGTCTGTGTTTTTGCATTATGTAGGGAAAAATAGCACTATTATGAAAAAGTGGCAGTGTTAAAATGTAAATTTTTTTCTAAATTATTATTATTGTATTACCTCTGCCTCAGGAGACCAATATTTAGTTTAAAATAAATTTACTGGCATTAGGGTGATGATGTATAGACATAGACAGAAATAGAACCATGTTCACACGATTACTCTGAATGAGTTTACATTAAATATCATACTTTTTATTACAGTGTTTTACTGAGCTTTACGTTTTCTTATTTCTGAAAATAGCATATTTGGAGAAAACGAAGACCACTTTCAGTAATGTAGGACTCACCCACATTTCCTTAGAAACAGAGTAAAATATTCTGAAGATATTCTCATCATGATGTTTCATTTGAAATTATTGTTTCTGGTTTTTTTTTTTAGAAAATTCTTTGAAAAATCAAGGATGAGTTCTCTGAGTATTTGATACAATTTGGAAATTTCTGTTTGTTTTGATTGTTTTTAAAATTTATTTTTTGAGTAATTAACCTTTCCACACCTGAATAAATGAACACTTTTTGCCCTTTGTTGTCCTAGAAGTGGACAGAGTATGGATGAGCATAACACTAAATATAGGGAACTTATAACAGATGCTTATATATGACCTGGAAAGCTAAAGGTTTATCTTGCTGCATTTCCATCTGCAGTAAAGGTCTATCACATCTTGTTTGATACTTTTGAAAGTACTGAAGCATCTTATTGCATAGGTAATTTTAATATCTTCATGGTCCATAAACCATATACTTCTTTTAAATGAATATTTATGGTAGTCATTCTTAAATGTATATCTTATAGATCCAGGTCATTAGTAGCTTAGGAGGGACCAAGTTAAACATATTACATGGGAGTACGGTAGATGTGGTGATGCATAACTAGAATTGTGGACAAAGTGATTTGTCGCCTTATTGCCTCTTCAAAGGAGGACATGTTGTCCCAGCATTAGGGAGTGCTTTCTGCAAACATTCTTTCGCTCTCAGCAACACCACTCTCTCCACCATTCCCTCTCTCAGAGATTTCAACTAGCATCACACAGCTGCCTTGCTCAAAGTTACCCCTCCCAGAATCCTGCATGCAGTGACAGATGCAGCGAGGACATGGCTTTAAGACCTGGGTATCTTTGCTCAATGATGAATAACGTGAGGCTGTTCTATCTCCAGAGCATCCCTAGTGATCAAGGATCTGTGCAGATGACTCAAAAAATTACATTTTCTGTTCCAACTTCTGAGTGTGGAATCTGTGAATGACAATAGCAATAAGTGGCATTAAATTAACTATATTTCATTAGATACTTGAATCCTCTTTTGGAAGTCCCGATAACATGTCAAATTAGCTTGTTCAAAGCCAAACTCATAATTCTGTTCTTTTAAGCCAGGGTTTTTGTTTGATTTGTTTTTTTATTTATTTATTCTTATTTGTTTATATTCTCCAATTTTGTATTTTGGTAAAAATACACATAATGTAATTATCATTAATCACATTTATATTATTGTTCAGTCGTCATTATTGTCAATCTCCAGAACTCTTACAATCTTTAAAACTGAAAAATTTTCCCTCCATTAGCACCTGGCAACCATTATTTCACTGTCTGTTCTGAGGATTTTGACTACACTGAGTACCTCATATAAGTCGAATAATAGAGTATTTGCCTCTCTGTGAGTGGCTTATTTTACTTGATATAACGCCCTCAAGGTTCACACATGTTGTAGCATATATTAGCATTTCCTCCCTTCTTAAGGTTGAATAATATTCTGTTGTATACAAAAACCACATTTTGCTTATCCGTTCTACTCTTGATAGACTCTTGAGTTGCTTCTAAATTTTAGCTATTATTAGTAATGCTATTAACAACATGGGTATAAAATACATATTTAAGAAACTATTGGGTACATACCTAGAAATGGAATTGCAGAATCATATGGTAATTTCATGTTGAATTTTTGATGATTCACCATATTATTTTTCACAACAGTTTTACCATTTTATATTTATTCCCACTAACAGTGCACAAGGGTTTTATGTTCTCTCCATTCTTACCAAATTATTATTTTCTGTTTTATTTTGATAGCTTCCATCCTAAATGGGTATGGGCTGGTATCTCATTGTAGTTTTTTTTTTCATGTCTGATGGGTAATGTGCCAACGGTGTAACAAGTTTCGAGGGTGGCACAACTTGCACCTGTGTGTGAACACCCAGTCATCGCGCTTATGAACTACAAAATAATCTCATTGTAGTTTTTATTTGCATTTTCCTAATGATTAGTGATGTTGAGCATGTTTTCAAGTGTTTATTTGCCATTTGTATATCTTCTTTGGATAAATGTCTATTCAAGTATTTTGACCATTTTTGAATCAGGTTGCTTGTTTTTTGTTATTGAGCTTTAGGAGTGCTCTGTATATTCTGAATATTAATCCTTTACTAGATATATGTTCTGCAAATATTTTCTTCCATTAGGTAAATTGCCTTTTACTGTAGTTATAATTTTCTTTTGATGCATGCATTTTTATTTCATCTTCTTTTTTTTTTTTACTTTTTGTGAAGCCCGTTTGCCTCTTTTTAATTTTGTTTTGTGAATGTCAGGTGTCTTATTAAAAAATATTGCCAAATCTGAAGTATTAAAACTTATCTTTCTTGTAAGAGTTTATAGTTTTAGGCCTTCCATTTAGGTCATGGATCCATTTTGACTAAATTTTTGTATATGGTGTTAAGTAAGGATCCAACTTTATTATTTTGCATATGGATATCTAATTTTCCCTGCAACATTTATTGAAAATACTGCCTTTTCCCCATTGAATACTCTTGACACCGTAATTGAAAATCATTTGACCATACATGTGAGACTTTACTTCTAGGCAACCTTTCCTATTACACCGGTCCATATGTCTGTCTTTATGCCAGTACCACAATGTTTTGATTACTGTAGCTTTATAGTAAGTTTGGAAATCAGGAGTCTGAGTGCTCTAGCTTGTTCTTTTCTAGGATCAATTTAGCTATTTGGAGTCTCTTGAAATTCCTATGAATTTTAGGATGAGTTTTTTGTATTTCTGCTTTAAGGCATCATTGGGATTTTGATAGGGATTGCGTTAAGTCTATAGATTTGCATTGAATCTGTGGTGTTGACATTATAACAATGTTAAGTCTTCCAATCATGAATATGAGATGCCTTTCCATTCATTTTTATATTCTTTAATTTCTTTTGGAATGTTTTGTAGCTTTTATAAGACAGGTCTTTTATTTTCTTGGTTAAATAAAAATAGTTTATATTTTTGATGCTATTGCAAATTAAATTATTTTATTAATTTTGTTTTTGGATTATTCTTTGTTATTGTATAGATATGCACTTGATTTTTATGTGGTGACTTAATTTATTGGTTCTACTATTTTAGTGGAATTTTCAGCGTTTTCTATAAATAAGATTATATTCTCTGTAAACAAAGATAATTTGACTTCTTCCTTTCCAATTTTATGCCTTTTATTTTTCTTTTCCTTTCATATTTTTTTCTAGCCAGATCTTTTAGTACTATATTGAATAGTAGTAAGCTCAGACTTCCTTGCCTTGTTGCTTATCACAGAGGGAAAACTCTTAAGTTTTTCACGATTGACTATGATGTTTTATATGGGACTTTTATATATGAATTTTTTTATTAGGTTAAGGTGGTTTCCTTATATTTCTACTTTGTTGAGTGTTTTTTTTAAATCACGAAAGGGTATAAAATTTTGCCAAATGCTATTTATGCATCAATTGAGATAACCATGTGATTCTTACCCTTCATTGTTAATATGGTATATTACATTTAACAATTTTTGTATGTTGAAATATCTTTGATTTCCATTAATATTAATAAATCTCTTTTGCTTGCGGTCTGTAATCATTTTAATCTGCTGCTTAATAACTTGTTTTGCTAGAAATTTTTTGAGGATTTTTGCATCAGTGTTTATAAAGGATACGTCTATGGTATTAGGGTAATGATGTCTTATAGAATGAGTTTTGGAAATGTTCCCTCATGACAGCATTTTTGGAAAAGTTTGAAAAAGATTGATGCTAGTTCTTTAAATGTTTTATCGAATTCACTGGTGATGCCATCAGGTCCAGGGCTTTTGTTGTCAGGAGATATTTTATTAGTGGTTCAGTCTCCTTAGTAGGTATCAGTCTATTTACATTTTTAATTTTATCATTATTTAGTGTTGGTAAGTTTTATATCTCTAGGAATTTTTCCATTTCATATGTAATTAGATTTCTAGGCATACAAGTTTTCATAGTACTCTCTTATAGTCCATTTTATTTCTGTAGAATTGATAGCAAAGTCACCATTTTCATTTCTCATTGTAGTAATTTGAGTCTTCTTTTTCTCTTAGTCCGTCTAGCTAAAAGTTTACTAACGTTGTTGATCTTTTCAAACAACCAACTTTTGGTTTCATTGTTTTTCTATCATCTATTTTGTCTATCTCTGCTCTAGTCTTTATTATCTTCTTTCTTCTTCTTGCCTTCAGTTTGTTTTTCTGGTTTAAGTTGTAAAGTGGTTGATTTGAGATATGTCTTTTTCTAAATTAAAAGAAAATATTTCTTACTTTTAAATGTAAGCATTTATAGCTATACATTTCTCTCTTAGCGCTGCTTTTTCTATGTCTCATAAATTTTGGCATGTTGTGATTTAGTTTTCATTTATTTCGAAATACTTGTACAGTTCCCCTGTTATTTCTTCTTTGATCAATTGGTAATTTAGAAATACATGTTTAATTTCCACATATTTTTTGATTTTTCCACTTTTTCTTTTGTTACTAATTTCTAACTTAATTTTGTTGTAGTTGGCAAAGATACTTTGTATGATATCTTTTAAACCTATTGAGATGTAATTTGTGGCCTAACACATAATCCGTCCTGGAAAACATTCCATGTGCACTTGAGAAGAATGCATATTCTGTTGTGGGGTAGAATATTCTGTAAATATCTCTTACATCTTGTTGGTTTATTGTGTTTTTTAAGTCCTCTATTGTTATTTATTTCTTTACTTATCTTCTGATTGGTTTATCCATTACTAAGGGTAGATTTTGAAGTCTTCAATTATTATTGTAGAACTATTTATTTTTCCTTCATTTATATCAAAATTTCCTTCTAATAGTCTGTTATGTACATGTTGATATTTATTATAGCTTCTTGGAATATTGAACCTTTTATTAATATATTATGTCCTCCTTTGACTCTTGCAGCCTTTTAACAGTTATTTAAAGTCTATTTTATCTGGTATTAATATAACCACCCCAGTACTCTTATGGTTACTGTTTACATGGAGCGTCTTTTTCTATCCTTTCACTTTCAATCTGTTTGTGTATTCAGATATAGAGTGAGTCTCTTTTAGACAGTATATAGTTGGATCATGGCCATAATCCATGCTGCCAGTATCAGTCTTTTGTTTGAAGGGCTTTGCTATTTAAAATTAAAGTAATTGTTAATAAGAAGATAACTGTAACTGTCATTTTGTTATTTATTTTCTAGATGCCTTGTAGCTTTTTTAGTATTGAATTTATATTTTGTAGTGAAAATTTAAATTCCTTTCATACGTTTTTTAATGTATATTCTATAATTATTTTCTTTGTGGGTACCATGAGTATTAACCGCCAACACTCTAAAATTATAATACTCTAATTTGAATGTATATTAGCAAAAGCTCAATAATATACAAAAACTCAGCTCCTATAACATCTTCATTCACATTTTTTTAGTTATTAATGTCACAAAATTATGTCTATACATTGTGCATTCAAAAACATAATCATTTTAAATATATTAGTATTCTCTATTATGTATAAAACAAAATGTAGATGTACAAACCAAAGTTATAATAATGGGAACTTTAGACTAATAATTGTTTAATATATTAGTCTCTTGAAGTCTGTGGAAAATAAAAAATGAAGTTACAAACCAATGTTACAATAATACTAGCTTTTATATTGTCCATGCGTTTACCTTTACTGAGATATATACTTATTCATATAGCTTTGAGTTACTATCTAATGTCCTTTTATTTTAAGCTGCAGGATTCCTTGAGCATTTATAGCGGTTAATGAACTACCTTAGTTTATGTATGAGAATAATTTATATATTCTCTGGGGGATAGGTTATGGAATTTTCATTCAGTGGTAATTTTCAGCTCCTGATTTTTTTTGTTCATTTTTAGCCTTTCTGTCTCTATTGATATTTTCATTTTGTTCATCGTTTCCTTGACTTTCTGTATGCTTTCCTTTAGTTTTTTGGACACCATTATAATGGTTATTTTAAAGTATTTATGTAGTAGATCTACCATCAAGTCTTTCTCGGTGACTCTATTTTGCTTTATCTGTTTTCTTTAAATGAGCCATACTTTCTTGTTCCTGTGTGTGCCTCGTGATTATTTGTTGAAAACTGGACATCTGAATTTAATTAAATGGTAAATCTTGAAATCAGATTTTCTCCCTTCCCCAGGGCTTGCTGTTTTTGTTATTATTTTGTTTATATTGTTGCAGGCTGTGTCTGTGCTGAAGATCGGCCTGAGTTGTAAACTTAAAGACTTTTATTAGTATTTCATGAACCTGCACCATTTCTTGATGATACACTGAAACTTTCTAATTTCCCTCATGTATGCAGTTGCTCTGGAAATATACTATTCTTTAATGTTTGACTTCTCAAAGGGGTAAAGGAAAAATGTAGGGGGACAAACAGCCTTTTAAATCTCCTGGAAGTCACCTTAGCCAGGAAGAGTGGGTTTTAGAAAAGAAGGGAGTGCAAAAACAATGGCTACCACCTTTTTGTCTCTACCATTGTGCTCAGAAGCAGCAATCAACCATGACAGCACAGATCCTTGATAACCGAAGGATGTGGTCCTTTTTGCTCATGGTAGTTTTTGCAAGCTAGAGGCAAGCTGCAGCAGAAATACGTGCACAGCTCCCTGTCTTGGGGTTGAGGGTGGGGATAGATAGTTGCTCCTAAGCTAACGGCTGAAATTAACTAAAATTTATTATCCATGCTTTCTCCTGGAATTTGTAAGTTTCACTAAATTCAAGAATTCCAAAAGAGTTGTATCAGAGAGATTTTGCCAGTGTAATTATTACTTATGTGTAAAGAGATTTCCAGTGCTTGCTTTTCCATCATCTTCCCAGAATTCTGTAAACCAGACTCTTTCACAATGTTTCCGTGAATGACATCACTGTCTATCCAGTTATGTAAACCAAAATTTATACATCCTTCTCTTTTCCCCACACGTATCATTTCTCACAAAGTCATTTCAATTTTAACTTCTAAATATCACATAAATAGTTAATGACTATTGTTTGGGTGCCTGCATACTCCTGAGCATTGATTTCATATCTTTTAATTACATATCTCAGCAAGGACTTGGTATGCTCAGGTATGCCACGTGGACACTGGAGTTTATAGATGTACGACACATTTCTCAACTAAGTGACAAAGCTGGGTTTATACAGTCAGTTTGATTCTACACATTTTACTGAACATGATGCCTCACATTTATTTTCTGGAAAATGACGTTAGATTAGGCTAAACAAAAGTTTTAAACTATTATGAATAAATATTTTTAAAATAATATATACAAGTTTTTATATCAAATACATATATTTCCAATATTTCAAAACTAATTGAATTCATCCTTATAATAACTGTATAAAATAGCTAATCTTATTTCAATTTCACTGATGAACAGTGTATAAATCAGTAAATAAGGGACAACAATGGTATTCCAATATAAATTTCCAGCTAAACTGAAGTTCTGTGTTCTTCAGTGCTTTGTTATAATGTCCCCTTGGAACAGTAAGCCCTTAAAATGCTGACAAAATCATGAATTGTAAAATAAATTCACAAATGTTGCTACTCTTGAGACAACGTGTACAGACAGAGAATTGAAAATATGACAGAAAATCAAAGGATGTCTGTGGTTAATGTGTTATATTAAATAAAAAGCACAACTGTAGAAGCTTTGTCAGTTAATGACTATTAATAAAAGTCTCCTGACTTGCCTCCCAGACTAAAAAATCATAAAACGACATTTAATATTTTAATTGAAAAATCAATTTTAAACTGGGGCAGTCTCTATTACTAGCAAATGTTATGACTGTTAATAATATTGGGTTCTTTTCTTATTTTACTAACCATGCTACTTTCTTTTTTCTATTCTCCCCAAAATGAATCCAAATTCAAGAAATTTGAAAAGTGTCAGTTATTGGCCTCTTGGAAAAACAGGCTGCTCTCCTCTTTCCACAGGTTTACTCTGGTATTTCCTTGAAATACTTAGTTTTAAAATGTACCAGGTAAGATGTTTGTCTTAAGGCAAACATGTGGTACTCTCTTCATGTAATCTATTTATGTACTAAGTGGATTAAGAGGCCTATTTGGGAACAGGAACATCTTATCATCAGCCCTCACATCATACTATTTTGGAATTGTACTCTTTCAAAGACTATAGTTAAGACACCTGAAAAAATATTATTATCATTCATAAACAATTTTTATTGTCCTATCATGTTCAAAAGTTTAAATACAGACAACTTTTGGATAAATACATTCTAGCTATTCCAGCTAATTCTTAAGCACTTATGATGACAAAGTTTTGTTTGCTGTGATAGTAGAAAAACAGACTAATTTTCCTAAAAATCCAAGGGTTTCACATTAATCTAGTTTTGAAAACTGTAGCCTGTATGTTTCTAATCTGGCTATAATAAAATAAGTTTATATAAAATGTTTAGTGATGTGAAAAGTTGTTAACTTCCCAGTTTTCAAAGGTCTTTTTAGACATGTACTTTTACCTGAATTTCTTTCTGAAGATTAATTTCTTAACCTTTGTTCTGTGAAAGTATTTTTCAGGTTACTCCCTAGATAACACCTGAGTTATTTTTAAAATATATATTCTCTTTTGTCTCCAGAACATTTCTAAATAACCTTCCCAGAGTATCTTAAATGAATTATTGAATTTGTTTTGAAAATAATTTTCACCAAAGAAGGCATATTTCTTAATACTTAAAATAAAATTGTGAAATTTGACTTGCATTTGTGAAATTTTTGCAACAAAAGTTACTCTTTATTTTCCTGTTTCCCTTATTTATATGTTATATTTCCCTTATTTATATTTACATGTTAGTCTTTATCTATTAATAGCCCAAAAATCTAACATCATTGGCTAAAAAGGATATATTAATTAATGGCACTGGAATACAGCTTGCAGATATGTCACAGGACTTGAAAGTGGAAATGTGAGTAATAAATACAATGTCAACAAAAGAGAAAGTTTGAAGATCATTGATATTACATGGTGACATTACTCTTTTTCATTACTGAATTGATTTACAGATGACAATTCACTGTGTTTTGATAAGTGTTGAAGGTTTTAGTGCTTTCAAAATGCTTACTTTTGGATATATGGTGTCATAATCATCTGGGATTTCCTAAGTTTCAGTATAGAATTACGGGTCAGAATTTCTCAGTATGTTACTCAGGAACATATTTTTTAAAGCTCCACAGATAATTTTAATTCACTATCAATTAAGGCAATCACTATTGGACAACCAAGACAGAAGGAAAATAACCAAATTCATTGATGTGCAAAGGTATGAAGGATGTTATTGGGTGTGATAAGTCCATTCACAATGTTGGAAAAAACATCAAGCATTCCCAGTCTAAGAATACTGGATTGTAAAATATTGTGCATATCAAGTGCTGCTTTGTGTTCTGGCCATCTTCCTGCATTTTTTCCTTCATTATGTCCTCTACTGGCTGAGGGGAAAATCACTATACATTTTTTCCTGGACCTAAATTATTACAGAAATTTAATTCAAATTTCTAAATGTGGCAGGCCATTTTACAAATGATACGACATGTTTGTCTGTAAACATTTGAAGGAGGAGAGTAGAAAGTTCACATGAATTTATTTTAATATAACTCTTAAATGCATTGGAAAATGGTTTGTCCTTAATGGCCTACAGTGTTGTATGAGTCTAGGCGTATAATCACTGCCTGTTTAATAGTTTTCCTATGGTGGCATTTGGAGACCTTTTTAGTGATCATTGGAAAGTACAGTGTTTGTAAGAGTCTTTTGGTACTTTGAAATATTATGTAAAGAGAACTCTACAGGATGTTGAAAAACATTTTTCTTTATTAGGAAAAATTCTGTCATTACTGAAGAAAGCTGTGTTGAGAGGAGATGCACACTTTCACATCTACATGTGTAAGACTGAATTCTGCTGGCAGAAATTTTGGTTCAGTTAACTTTCTCCATGAAAAAAAAGAAAATTCAACTCTAGGATTTTTTTTTCTAGTGAGAATTATTTGTATTGCATTAACATGGAACACAATTTTTACATTTCAATATCAGTGGTCTACTTTAAAACTAGTAAAAACAAACCTATTAACTATCTTTACTTGTGATAAAGTAAATAATGCTCCGATACTATTCTCCATGACATCATTTTATTCATTTCTCACATATGACATGCTAATATTCCGCAGCTAGCCTTATAGTGCTTGTCATTTATAATGGCCACATATGATTTGCTTTTGAAAATAGTTTATCATTGTCTCTACATATTATCCTTCTTTAAAAATAAAACTCTACTACACTGTATTTTGATTATATTAATGTAACAAAAGTTGTTATACAACACTTCTTTTCAAAATTAAAAAGCTGTTATTCAATGTGAAGTTTGAATAACTATATGATATTTTTTATTATTAATTTAGAGTAATAATAGGCCCATCGACTATATTGGTATACATTTGGTTCTATTTGGGACATGGTATTTGTCCTACCTGATCATCTGTGATGTGCCTTACAAAGTGCTGTGTGAGATGTAAGGTGGAAGTGTAGGGCCATAATCAGGAATGAAATACTGTTATAACACCTGCAAGCTTACAAGAAATCTATGGTTATAGAGTCTGGATAGAGAGTTGGCACTGGGAGGTGACATAAGGGAGACTTCTAGAGAACTGTTAATGTTATTTATTTATTTACCTGTGTGGGGATTACATAAATGTTTTCACTTTGTGATGATTTATTTATACCAATAATATTTTTTCACGTATCTGTACATGTATTACACTTCAATTAAAATGCTAACAACAAAAATAACAAATACATTATAGGCAATACTAAAAGACTACCTCTATTTAAGGTAGGTAAAATGGAAAGAAAAACATTTCAGGAATCTGTGAGGGGGAAATTCTGAGAATAGAAACATATGATATTACTAGGTCATTTGAGTTATATTCTGTATCATTTTAACAAGTTTAAAACAAATTTATGGCAATGCTAGATAATGTTATGTATAGTGTTTGGTTTAAAAATTGTATAAAGCTAATAAATAAGTACTTTTGTAATGCACACTAATTGTATGCATAGGCATTATACATTATTTTTATAAATAAAATATTCTGCAGTTGTTTTAAAACAATTCCCTGAGAATTACTTTCATATAAAATAAAAATTAGATGTAAAATGAGTTCTTTGAGTTAATGCAGTATTGCGCAGGATCTTGTTCAGCAGCTCAAGCACTCTGAAGGTCTTAGATAGAAGTTGTAGCTAAACACCTGCAGACATAAAAGCAAACCAAACCCATACCCATCATGTGAGTCAATTCCAATCCAGACAAATTATTTCTTCTTTAAAAATAAGATGATCACAATATCATCAACTTGTCCCCAAGAAAGTGATTGATCCTCTCAAACTATAGTGCCAAGTGAGGTGTCCAGCGTTTGTTTCTGTGGCTGTCAGAATATATAATAAGCAGTGGCTATAAAGAAATCAGCCCTGGTGAACAGAAGCCCATGCTGTGGAGTCTGGATTAGCCTCCATCTCTGCTACCACAGTCTCTTCACTGAGGCATCTATTATGCCAGCACTAGGCCATCTAATGACAGAGGTTAGCAGATGTCAGTTGGCATAGTCATTTTATCTACTTGGTTGTCTAGTGCCCTCTCCATGGTGAATATTATTTAGTTAGCATTAACACGAGATTAAAGAGTCTTCATAACTTATTGATATTTCTATAAGTCCATCAAATAGGTTTTCCCCAATGCTCTTTCTCTCCCCTTTAATCTCTGTATACCCAGACCACTAAGTAAACCTCCAAACTCTTTACCACTTCCATATGTCAGTGTATTTTCTTACCTCGGTTCTTTCCTCTTTTCAGAAAACATGAATGAAGTAGTGAGTGTCCATGGGGAAAATTTTTCTGACTTCTGTCCTTCGGGATCACTATTGATTTGGCTTTAAGATAGCAGCAATCCTTCATTACTCTGAAACCCATATTAAGCAAACCCATCTATTAAGCTAGCTGGGCCTTTTTTTTCACCTCCATTACTTGGTCATAAGGTAACCCTAATGAATGAAAGCCTGAGATGAGGCAAAAGCCATAGTAAGATAATGAGAGATGACAAGGGGGCTATCGTCTCATGCAGTTTATTTGTGTTCTCTGATTCTACTTCTGCATGATCTTGAATTCATCACTTCTGGCTTATAATGGAATTCACTTCTGGCTTATAATGGCAGCCCTACATTTAACTTGTTGATTTTGACCAAATCCAGTTTATGGTAACCAGTTCTGATCACATAGCCTAATATCACAATATTTTCCAGAAAAGTAAAAATTAGTGAATAATCTAAAACAAACTCTACAAGTCTAATAGTCTTATTATGTTATGAAAATATGATAAAAGAAGTTTACAGATCAATCTGCTTATGGGTGTTCACTCAATAAACTTAAATGTTTCAGCAAATCAAATCAAAGATGTATAAAAATATATTGCAACTAGGTTTGTATTTTAGTGCTAAATATTGCAGATTAAAAGCAGAAGACATTAAAAGATAGATAAGTTTGGCTATATTAAAACTGGTACAATTGTGAACAGGAATGCTAAAGAATGTGTTTGCACAAAATGTAAGCAGCAGAGAGATAGTCACCAGAATATACAGAGAACTCATAAAAATCAATAAGGTGAAGAAACCTTCCCTCTGCCAATTGGTCAAACAATGTGAAAACACATTCAATAAAGAGCAAATACACAAATACACATGATTAATAAATTATGATTGAATATTCAACTTTACTAGTTGTTAAGAAAAATGTAAAAAACTTTTTTGTTTTGTTTTGTTTTTGAGACACAGTCTCCCACGATAGAGTACAGTGGTGCGATCTAGGCTCACTTCATAATTTGCCTCCCGGGTCCAAGCGATTCTCCTGCCTCAGCCTCCCAAGTAGCTGGGATTGCACGCACACGCGCCACCACATCCAAATAATTTTTGTACCTTTTTTTTTCTTTGCGGGACAGGGTTTCACCATATTGGCCAGGCTGATCTCAAACTCCGGACCTTAAGTGATCAGCCCACCTTGGCTTCCCAAAATGCTGGGATTACAGGTGTGAGCCACCACTCCTGGCCCAATGTAAATAACTTTTAAACCCAGTCTACAAAAAATAAGATTAAAACAATCTCATAGTTGCAAGTTTTGGGGAAAAGCATATAGTATCAGAAACCAATAGGATTTTCCACTTCCATTAGCAGCATGATTTGGCATAAGCATCTTGAAGAGCAGGTTCACAATATATGGTAGAGGCAAAGATATGCAGCAATAGATATCCCAGGAGTTCCATTCTTTAATGTAAATCTTAGGGCCCAAAGCAACTGTCTTCTATGAAAACCAGATGACATGTGTAATATTTTTCATTATAGCATGTCATTATTACATGTCTTATCAAAAATTTGGAAAAGCCTAAGTGTTCACCACTAGGGCAATAAATAAGTAACGGTGTAATTATAAACACCACTAGGCCAATAAATAAATTATGGTGTAATTATAAACAACAAATAAAAATTAATAATCTAGAGCTATAGTGTGTGTATATATGGAGAGAGAGAAAAAGAAAAAGTGTCAGATTTAGAACATTTAAAGAAGCTTATTTAAAGAAGTTTGAAATATGCAAAAAATATATTTTAGAATACATTAAGTATAAAGCAAAACTAGTAAAAAAGGTATCTGAATGATAATGAACAAACACTGGAAGTGATTTCTTTGGATGATGTCAGGCAAATTGTGGGGAGGAAAAATAATGCGACTATGGAGAGCCATTGAAATATGTTTTTAATAATTTTATTCATCATCTGTATGGCAGATTCTCTGGTGTTCTTCATATTATTTTTATTAATTTTCTATGCATGTACATTTTAGACTATACTTTAAAATCACTTAAAAGGAAAAAAAATCCACTAAGCACCCTCATTACTTCTAACATGTCATTCAAAGATTGCAGAAGTTCAAAGATAGGATATTTTCTACATCTATAGTTACATTTCTCCTTAATAATTAATTTTAAATCTAGTCCGTGTAAAATAAGTGGTCTTCACTTACTTGTTTCTCCTTCTTTAAGTCAAAAATTGAGAAGAGGCATCTCTAGAGAATAATAAAACATTTATCCAGGAGGAAAACTACACCACATAACCATTGCCCATTAGCTGGGAAAGATATCCGTATAAATGCAGGATTAAATGAATTTTTAAGTATTGGAGAAGCAGAAGAACTTTGAGAGAAAATAAAACGGCTTTCTTATATTGAAAATACTGGGTGATGTAGTTGAAATCAGAAGTAAGCAGCTTTAGGGCTCAGCTCTACTGATGAGCTTTTGAACAAGGGAAAATTATATAATTGAAGAGCCCATTTTTTCATCTGCTTTGAAGATAGGGATAAGCTGATCTATCTTTTTTAATCATTGTGAGGATTAAGTGGACTTGAAACACTCAGCATAGAGTGATTTCTTAAAATAGTAGTTACTGGTAATAATTTTAATTGGTTTAGAAATAGCTTCTATGATCCCAAAGATTGTTTTAATGTATCATTTTAAAATGTCTTCAAAACAGAAAATTACTTTATTAATTATGGAAATACTGATTTTCTTCAAATAGTAAGGAAGAAGTAATTGATATCTTCTAATTAACTTTTCTAGACTTTCCCAAACCCATAAACCCTTTTCAGGGGTAAAACATGAGACAAATATCAGTTTAGAGGCATGCTATAACATACCTGGCCAGTATGCCTCACAACTGTCTATATCATCAAAAAGAGGAATGCCAAGAAGAGCTTAAGGACATAAAACAACTAAATTTTAAGTGGTATTTTGGATGAAATACTAGAACATAAAAGGACATTAGGTAGAAACTAAGGAAATCAAAATTAACTATGGACTTTAGTTAATATGGTTGTCCCTCATTTTACACAGGGTTTGGTTGCATGACCACCTGCACTAATACCCAAATCCACATAAACTGAAGTCCTGCATACATTCTTTCAGAAGCAACATATAGGAATATTTGGCCCCCCATATGTGTGGGTTTTGCATCCCACAAAAGCTGTATTTTCGATCCGTGTTTGATTAAAAAATGTCTTCATAGGAGTGACCCTGCACAGTCCTAACTCAAGTTGTTGAAAGTTCAACTGTAATAATGTCAATATTGGTTCATTAATTGTAATAATTGTACCTCACTAAGGTAAGATGTCAATGACAGGGGAAACTGAGTGGAAAAGAATATGAGATCTCTGTAATTTATGCTCAAGTTGTCTGTAAATCTTAAACTATCAATATAGTCTATTAATAAATTTAAAAAACCTTTCTAGACTATTTTTACACATCTTATCATCTATTCTTCCATACCTTCAAAAACGAAGAAAAATAGAGTTATGCCTAATTTAAAGGTTGAGAAATTGAGACTAGAAAATGTTGCAGCTTCCTAATGCAAATGTGGCACTGGAGAATGTATGCCAGTCTTCTTGAATATTGCTTCAGAATTATTAGATCACTGGTTTTGAACAGGAATTGAAAAAGTTCTTTGGGCTGGACAGAGGTAGTGGGAACAAGCACAAGTTTTACATATCTTTTGTTATGGACATAAACATTTTCCTGAGTACAGAGTACAACCTTAATTGTGAACCCCAGAAGAATTTAGGTAGTATTTTGTATGAACTACATGTTAAAACTTGGTTCTGGTTCTTCCTAGACAAATTAAAAACTTATATTTAACATTTCCAAATTGAGTCTATTTTTCAGTGCCTTTTATAGTCAGGTTCTTTAAGGACGTATAGATATCAGCATCGTCATTATCACCATAATCATCTTAATTATGCAGAACTTATATATATTGATCACTTAGTTTGTAACAGACTCTCAACTACATACTCATCATATTAGTTAACTCATGTAATCCTATAATAGTCCTGTAATGTAGTTAAAAGTTTTAGCTTAATTTTTGAGACAAAAAAATTTAAGATACAGGGTTTATGTTACTGATCCTTGTTCTCACAGCTAATGAACAAGAGGACAAAAATTCAGGCTGAGAAAGTCAAATTCAGAGTCTCCTTGCAACCTCTGTGTTAGATACTACACAGGACAGAAATTGGAAGGAATGTGCCAAAATGACAATGAATATTCATTAAAAATAGTATTTTTAATGTTTTTATGATGAATAAGTTTTTGTTTAAAGAATAAAAAACACCACTTTGTTCAGGGTTAGCATACTATTTTAAAGCCTTTAGTGAGTAATAATGATTTATTTTAATTACTGGATTACATAGAAAGTTTATGTTTAATGAAAATTTAGGAATTACATTTACTCAATAATTCAGCTATTTATGGAATGCTTCACATTTGCTTTGCGTACTTTGAGAATCAGAAATCCAGAGGTGAACCACACAAAATAACATGAATTTGGATTTCATGTTTTTTTTTTTTTTATTAACCTAGCGGTAGAAAAGAGTAAATGAAATTATGTTGCTGAAAGAATCTAACCATCACTTATTCTGTGGTCAATGATTATCTCTACTTAATTTATGAAATCAGCAATTTAAGAAAAATTGAGAGATATTTATATAATTAAAACTTATAAAAACTTTCATGTGTACTCTGTGTAAGTCAATTAATGTATCTCACTTTGTTGTTTATCTTTTTGTTTTGTTTCTTTCCCTAATGGGCTTTTAATTAAATAACCAAAGTGACTGATGTAATTCTTCACAAGATTACATGGATTAACATATTTAAGTTTAAATTATTTCTAAAATGTAAACGTTGTTTAGTATTCCCTGCATTTTAAGAAAACAAAATCACATTTATGGGGCAAAAAATGATTTGCTTACTTTTTCTCTTTTAGTACATATATTTATAATAGTTTATAATAAAAGCCATTATGTTTTATAATATTTGTAAGTCATGCATTAGTTAATATTTTCAAAGTATATTTTGAATTGGAATTCACTCACTAAATTTAAAAGAATGCATTCAAAACCATAATCATTTTCTCTACCAATAAAATGTTGACTGTAACAACTGTATATTTTTTCAAATTATGAAGTGCTAATTAACTACTTGTTCTAAAAGTATTCTTAGCTTTTGATTTGGGAACACAAAGATAGGAATTGAGGTTACAATTATAGTGAAATATTTATATTTATAATAACAGCTTTATTATTACCTCACATAGCACAGCTAGTACTAATAATGTGGCTTTAGTATTAACCCACAAGAAAATAATAGATTTTATCATTGCAAAAATACTGGCAGTACCTTTAAGATTTATTTAAAGATTATACTTTCATTTGAGTTTCTATTTTAAGAAATTTTGAAAATCTGTTCACAATAATAAAGAATATGAAAACATTATCCTCAATCACATGGAATGTAGAAGTGAAATCTCCCAAATCTACTCTATTAAATGATTAGAAAAAATTGATATATTGTTATATTAAAGGAAGTTTGAAATTAATATGAGTAATTCCAGAAGGCAATATTTTATTTGATATTTTAAAGCATTTAAGCCTTCCTTGAATAAGTCTGACTACGCAGTATGAATAATAGAGATGTAAGAAAGCAATAAATAAATTTGCTGTGCAATTCAGTGTTTTTGCATATGGATACTTTTTGTTTTTTCACTTGTCTTTTTAGCGAGAGTTTAGATGTGTTATTTAAATACGGAAAACCTTCAGATATTGGAAGAATAAAGAAAAAATAATGCTAAATTTTACACTTAGACAAGTAAAGGGAAAGTGGACATTTTGTTACTGCCAAGAATTTTCAAATTAAAAGGACAAATTTAGCTCAAATTCAACATTTATGAATAGCTTTTAAAGTCACATTATTCCTCTTTGATTTCGCAATATGTACATACTCATTACATGCAATTTTAAAATACTAAAAATTATAAATAATAATTAAAATCAACCACAGTAATAGCTCTCAGAAGTTACTACAGTTATATTGAAAATGTGTATTCTTAGAGTCCTTCCTCTATTCATATATCCTTTTATTATATCCACAAATTGAGGTTAATTTGTTTTGTAATCTACTTTACTCACATTTCAATATTGCCAACTTTTTTGGGAAACACATCATTAAATATTTTTGACAAGCTGATTTCAAATGTTACATGTTTTTTCCTCAAATTGACAAATTACTACTTATAGAATAAATACATTTCTTATTACCAGACTGAAAGATTATTTATACTTTCCTGCTATTGAAGAATATTGTAATGGATTCTATATAACCTGTCTTAAAAGCCTTCACATAGAATGCATGTAATTGTAAACTAGATTAGGTAACCATAAAATTGCTATTGTCAACAGTAACTGAAAGAATAAGGAATTAGCAGCTGAATTAAATTTAGCAGTGTGATTCAGTTTTATGAATTAAAAATCTTGAGGTTAAAACTACTACCTACTACAGATAGCTTCTATTTTCATAATAGCCTTACAAGACAAAGAGAGAAATTTTGATATTTTACCCTGCAGTGACACTATTCTTAGTATAATAAGTAATTCTCTTATGTATTAACAATCACCTGTGGGTGGTGTACTGTGGTGTCTCAAATATTAAGTATGTGCCTATTATTTTGTATTTCTTTGCTTCAGAAATAAGATTTGTGCCAGGATTTTTCTTCCCTCAAAGTATGCCTAGACATTATAATTTAACGTACTCCTCTAGGGAAAACAGAATAGAATTCATTACAAAATATTTTGACTCAAATATTGGAAGGAAGTTCATCTGTCTTTTTTATTATCATATTTACAAAACCGGACATCAAGGTATATATTTTGGGAGGGGCAATTGTTCTTGAAATGTTTGAAGTAGAAGAAGGTAAGATTACAAGGATGGCAAATATTTCCAAGGAGTTATGGGTAACATTTTTCTTTTAAGCCTCTTTGTTCTTGTTTTATTCTTGAAATATACAGTGGATGTATATTTCTTCTTCATTGAGAACAGATTTAGTGAAATCATTAATTAAAGATTCCTTTTGCTTCTAATTTAAATAATAGAGCAAAATATTTTGTCTTTTAAAAATGTGAAATAATAGTAAGTCTATTTAAAATGAACATATACATTTAGACACTTGGCAATACAATTAATACTTGCTTCCAGTGTTCCAAGCTGTTTTTCACAGACCTTCGTGCTCAAGGGCATGCTTGCCTTACTGAGGCTGTATTCTATAAGAACACGGAGTCCATACTATGACTCATACTCCTAGGCAGTGTAGTCATTTTCAGTGAAACCACAAATCTCTTATTGTCCCTAGGACAAGTCATAATGATGATTGATTTTATGAAGAGAAAAGAATCCTAGCTTTTTATTAATATATCAGTAACATCTCCTTAAATGAGAGATAACAGAGTAAGTTTCACCACCCATCATTTTTACAACACTAAAGTAGATGAATAAAGGATAGAAATATAAAACTTTGATTAGAAGAATACAATAGATAAGAAGACATGCATTTATTTGTGCAGTAATTTTCCTCTCCCCCTATTCTGTCATAAGTACCAGACATTGCACAAGACATGAAGAGTAAGAAAAAGATTGACATGTATAAAACAAGAAAAATAAAATAGATATGAATTTGTACATAGCAATATAATGGGCCAGGCCTCAAAGAGAAGATGGGTGAAAATACAAAATCATTGAGTCTTAGAGAAAGGGAAAAAATACAAAGTTCACTAAAATGCACGCATGCGCACACACACACCCCCAACACTCACAGAAACACATGCGTGAGGCGTAGGATTTCCCACTATCTCCCCTCTAGTCTTTTCTCCTCTATTTGTCGTACCAATTGACAATGATAGAGAACACAACAGTTGCCTTTGTTTCCCACTATTTCCTCTACTGACAACATTAGTGACAAAACAGGACCTAAGTCCCTACTCAATCTGTTTAGAGACTTAAGGCAGGAAACATGTTCTCTTCCTATGTCAATTTCAAGTCATTAGGAGAAACATTGAAAAGTCAGTGCATCAGCCAAAGACAACCGAATAACCTAAATTGAAAGGCAAAGGAAAATAAATAAAAGAATGGAAACTTCTACTTTTAGCCCACCTCATTTATCACTCTTTGTTTCTCCCTCCCTCATTATCTTTCCCTGTGCTGTTGGTGGTGTCCAACTTCAACTTCCTACCTAAGATTCACCCTGCTAGATGCATAATGCTGACACAGAGCCTTGTTAAAAAGAAAATATACTGTGATGTTCAATTGATGCATACCCATCATCTTGGAGTTTTTAATTTTGTTGTACTGAATGTTGTAAGCATACTCATATTATTTTGTTTTCTATAATAATTTTAACATGTGTAACGGGCTGTAAGTAATCAATGTTAAATTAACTTTCATCTGAAAATGATTTGAACTTCTATTTATTGTTAATATTATTAGAGAATATATTTTAGTAATTTAAGCACAGAAAAACAGGAATATGAATAATTTGAACATTTGCTGGGGGGGAAAAAACAAACAAACAAACAAAAAAAACCCTCTTCTTCCCTAATTAGATATGTCAATTCTTCAGTAGACTGAATTGTAGCTATGTTTGGTTATATTTTAAAATGAAAACAAGATGATTGAAATGTGTGTTATCCAATGTTATGTTAATATATTTTTATTTCATTTGTGGCTGCTTTGGTACTAATCTTTTTCTAATAAAATGTGTTAAACAGGTTAAAATACTAAAATTATTCTTTTGTTTTCTAAACCATCATCTTTTTTAAAGCACTTTATCTCTTTTACTCAAACCTTCCATTTTTAATGCTACTCTAACTTCAGCTGTCATTTTTCTATATATTCTTCAACCCTTACTTCCTGAATTCTTTCTTATTCAAAGACTTCACAGTTCCCTACTCTCTCTCCTCCTTTCACTTCCCATGGTACATTTTATCTTATCTCCTGACCCTTAAAACTTCCTTTGCTGTGCAGAAAGTACTCATGGAAAAGACTTTCTGTGTACTGTTGCTAAAGTGTATGCTTTTTGAAGGCAGAGGGTTTTAAACTTGATTTCTGTTTTCCAGCTGACACTCAGCTTTATGCTGAATGTCACAGAATAAGCATGACCACAAGAACTGCCTCCTGAGTAATCTCCCTTTCAAGGTTCACTTATTTCTAATCCATTATTTGTGGATTATCTAGAGAGTGACCTTTCAGATTTACATTTCAGACTCAGTCATACTTAAGTTTATCCTTTCATAGCTCTGCATTGCTTTCCATATAGAACTCAAATTCCTTGGGATTGAAACAAGGCATTTACAGTATACCCTCAGGTGACCTCTTAGACATTTTCTTCTTGCCATTATGTCTGTTTGTTATATATTGGCGTGTAACAAACCACTCCAAAACTTTATGACATAAAATAACACTGTTCATTAGGATCATGTTTGTGTGTGTGTGTGTGTGTGTGTGTGTGTGTGTGTGTGTGTGTGCATTAGGCATTTAGAGAGGGTTTGGCAGGAGCAGTTCGTTTCTGCTCCATGATGACCAGAGTCTCAGGTAAGGTGTCTCAAATAGGTGGAGAAAGCTGAAATAATTCATATCTCCCAGTCTGACTTTCATCTGGATTTTTCATTCTTTTTCATGTGAGCCTGGCCCTAGAATGACCAGAATGGCTTCTCAACTCTGGCATGTAAACTGGGATGGCTGGAATATCTAGGCCTCGTCAGCTCTCTGTTTCTCTGTCCCTGTCTCTCTCTCTCTCTCTCTCTCTCTCTCTCTCTCTCTCTCTCACACACACACACAGACACACACACCACCTCCCTGCATTGTTAGCCTGGGCTTCCTCACTGCAGAGTGATATCAAGGTAGCAGGACCCCTCCTACACACAAGGTGACTGGCTTCCCTCAGAGTGAACATTTTAAGAGAGCTAGATGAACTTGTAATGATTTTTATAGCCTAGCTTCAAAAATTCCATAATGCCACACCACCTGCCTTCTAGTGGTCAAAGAAATTGGTAAGGCCAGTCCATCTTTAAAGTGAGGAAAATTAGGCTACTTATCTCAGTGGAAGAGATCCATATTTGTGGCCATGTTTAATGTTTTTTTGTTTGTTTTTTTTACTTTAGCCATACAGAATTGAAAACAATTTGTGATTAATAGCACTCACCTTACTCACCTTGCTCTCTATGTGTTGCAGCCTTTATGTAGACTATTGGTGCTGCCAAAGCTTTTCCCTCTCCTTTGTTAATCTGGATATCTCTGTCTCATCCTGCCTTACTCAGATCCAATATGCCATGTCAGAACAATTACCTCTCTTTCACCTGAGTTACACATCCCTTTCTTGGGTCCTCACAGCATCTTACTCTAATGTGTGTATGTTTCTCATATAATTGTTTATCGTATGCTCTCACCACACTCTGAACTTGTGCATAGAAACTGTATCATTGATATCTGTAATAACCATGGAGGGGATCCTCTCTGATATGCCTTCATATTAGTTAAAGGGAAGCTTTCAGCTGCTGCAACTTCGGGATCTGCTGCAGCACCCATATCAACGTCCCCGGGCTGCTCCTTGCCAGTGACTGATCCCAGTGGGTACTAGAGCCAGGCCATTCCTGCCTGAGCAAAACTCCTCTAATGGGTATTCTTTGTTCTGAATCTCCTTATCAGACTTTCTGAGATTTTTTTTTTCTTTTCAGAACTACACTACTTTCGGATTCTTTTCCTATTCTATTTCCCTTCTTTTCCCTTATTCTTTCACAGGTATCAGACCTGCCTCATGGACTGAAAGCTCCTGCTGCCTCCTGCTTCCTTTCCCCTTCATCTTTCCCTGTTGTTTCTCCCAAAAATTTTCTTGTTATTCTAATTCCGTCTGTTCATCTGAGCCTCAGAGGACTTCTGCTGTATTCTAGTGACTAGTACTATTTCGAGAACAAGATGGGAGTTCAAGTAAGGCTATCAGTAAAAATAGACAAATAATTGAACAAGTAAGCAGATAAAACTATGTCTCCCTTAACCATCTGCATAGTATCCAGTCTGAGGAAGCTTGCCGGTATCCTAACCTAAAGGGAAGCTGAGAACAATAACATACTCAGATCGTCTATTTGCTGTTGTGTTATATTGGTAAATAAAACCTCTAGCTTTATAACATATATAGTCAAAACTGTTTTGAATTTACATTTGCCCCCTGTAAACACTTTAAGACAGAAAATAATAAATGACACTCAATAATATATAATTTATAATAAAGTTAATAATTCAGAGCAGATATTATATATACTCGTTAAAAACAGCACTGAAGTGCATCTTCCATTTTCTATAAATTTGTAATTATTCATCAAACCTTACAATGAGAAATAGTATCTGTACAACTAATATACTGTATTATTTGTATTCTTTCACTAACTCATATCAGGAAAAGTATTACCAGCAACAGTCGGAAATATCAATTATGAGAAAATAATGTTTTTTATTTTGTTAAGATCAATTGTACATGTTTTTCCCTCTATTTACATTTTTCTTCCATATCAAAACCAGTGTTGTTTCTATATATAATTTTAATAAAAATGTTGTGGGTTTATCACTTTGCTTGCTGAGGTAAGTAACATGTCGCATCTTGTATATCTTTACATTCAGAATTAAAAATAATTATTCAGTGCCATCTGTGAAAACTTTGCCTGAAGAAATAACATCATTGACTTTTCTCTTTATAGGCATTTATTTTATTAATTAAGTTGAAAAAATTTCTGTAAACTTTTCATATGTCCCAGTGCATCACTTCCATTCCCTTCCAGTATGATAAAGTATTAAATGTTGGATAGGAAGTGATAGGTTACAATAAGAAGGTGAGGGAGACAGATAAAAATCTTACATAACCCAACTGAAAAAAAAATATTTTTAAAAGATTCTCAATAATTGTTTTTAAATTTCTTGTATATTTATTCTACTTCTTCTGATAGATGAAATTAAATCTTAAGAACTGAGCATCTTGGCTGGGCACAGTGGCTGGTGCCTGTAATCCCAGCACTTTGGGAGGCTGAGGCGGGCGGATCACCTGAGGTCAGGAGTTTGAAACCAGTCTGGCCAACATGGTGAAACCCTGTCTCTACTAAAAATACAAAAATTAGCCAGGTGTGGCAGCGTGCGCCTGTAATCCCAGCTACTAGGGAGGCTGAGGCGGGCGGATCACCTGAGGTCAGGAGTTTGAAACCAGTCTGGCCAACATGGTGAAACCCTGTCTCTACTAAAAATACAAAAATTAGCCAGGTGTGGCAGCGTGCACCTGTAATCCCAGCTACTAGGGAGGCTGAGGAAGGAGAATCACTTGTACCCGGGAGGCGGAGGTTGCAGTGAACCAAGATGCTACCACTGCATTCCAGCCTCAGAAACAGAGCGACAGAGTGAGACTCCATCTAAAAAAAAAAAAAAAGGAACTGAGCATCTTCATTATTTTTCCATATTAGTTGAAATTCTTATCTTTGAGCCAATTGTAGTGACTTGAGTGACACAGATTTAGACAGACTAAATATTTTGGTTCTGTGGTACTTACAGCACAGTAGTCTTCTTTAGTGATTCATTTGATTCCTTGGACCCCTTTTGCCTCTTGTGGTTGTAAGCAAGTCCAGCTAGAGCATATTTAGGGAGTTCTAAAAGGCATTTCTTTGAAGATACACTTTAAAAAAGTATACTACCTATAAAGTGTTTCTTGAGGAGTTTTTATTTTTTTCCTGTTAAGTTTTCTGGTTCCAAGGTTTGTTGATGCATGTGCTGTGAGATCTGCCTTATACTTCTTATTGTGTTAGAGCTTTGCTCATTCCTTGCATAAAAGTGACCTCCTTTACCTTTACGTGTAAAGTTTTCTTTTCCCTCTCTGTTCTAGGCAATCTGGTGTATATGTGTGTATGTGTTTCTGTGTGTGTCTGCATATGTGCACACACATGCCTGTGTATTGATGACAAAAAATACACCAGATTAAAACTTCAACATCTGTGATACCCTTTCAACCAGGCTTGCGCAGATTTTCCCCTTTATTGTGTATGATGGTATCCAGTATGAAGTTGTTATAAAAGGAAGAACAAAATTCATACTCGACACCATCATATACAAAATAAGAAAATCTTCTCCCTAACAGTAAGGAAAAAATAAACAGAAATTTTAATACTTGTTATGCCCAGAAGATAAAACAAGTAATGATCTTTATGCCCTGATTTTGGTTTTATATTAGAGAAGATTTTGGAGAACAGACATTTGAAAAATATGAATAGTTCAGATATATTAATGTGTGCCTTTTCACTCTTGGACATTTAAAATAAATTTGATTCGTGAAGAAATCCAGTACTCATTCAGTGTTAAAAGGTTTAACAGTTGTGTGTCAGAAAAGTCAAAATTACCTGAGGAAAACTAAATGTAGTAGATTTCCATGTGTAGCCAGTCCACTAAAAGCCATAATTTCATAATTTCTATCTATATATACATGTATAAGTGTAACCAGCTACATATATGCATATATGTATACTGTCAGTATAATATATATATATATATATATATATATATATATATATGTATGTATAAGATTTGAGGAAAACTGGAGCAATATGTTTAAACTCAGTTGATCTGCATCTTACCTGGTTCCGTGAATAAATGGCGTTTAATCAGAAGTTGTTTACATCAACTACAGTGACTCAATTATTTATACCAGTAAGTAATGTGTCAGTTTTCTTTTTATCTAAATTCTCAAACAAATGAATATTTTAAGGGAGGAATTTACTAATCCTTACATGCAAATAGTTCATATTGAGGAAATTTTTGAAGAAAAAAAGGAAGGAAGGAACACAGAAATTTTCATCAAGAGTAAGAGAAAGTAAACATAAGACTTTGGGAAAATACAATGATATTTGATGGTAGCTCATACATTTATCATTAATAATTCCCTTTTTAAAATAAGAAGATCACAATCTTATGTTGCTTGTTGTAATTTGGGGAAGTATATGGAATCAGATTTTTCTGGTCTGTAAAATGTCAACATCCTGGTTCCCAATGGCTTAAGAAAAAAAAAAAGTGGCAAATATACGTGGATTTAGATTCTAGCTCTTCTCCTTATAAGGTATGTGATTTGATCTCTCTAAATGCCGCTTTTGTTATCTGTTAAATATCCTTGGTAATTTTTTCTGACTAGGGTTAGCAATCAAGTACTGATAGAATTCCTGACATATTAAGTAGATTAGCTAAATATTACTACTATTCAGCATTTCTATGAACAACTATTATATATATATAATTGTTGAGGGGTACAGTATTTTTATATATACATATATATATATACAGGCATTATATGTAGTATTTAAATATGAGACAAAATTCTAAGGTAGAAAAAGTGGGAACATTTGTAGCTTCTTTGATTTCTCTGTCATTTACTAAGCATGAATTTGTGCATATATATACATATTATATATATAGACACACACATTTGTAATTATAATTATGTGTATACACAAATATATATAGTTGAGGGACATGGTGTATATATGTACCTATATAGACACATACATATGTCTGTATGTACCTATATAGACACATACATATGTCTGTATGTACCTATATAGACACATACATATGTCTGTATGTACCTATATAGACACATACATATGTCTGTATGTACCTATATAGACACATACATATGTCTGTATGTACCTATATAGACACATACATATGTCTGTATGTACCTATATAGACACATACATATGTCTGTATGTACCTATATAGACACATACATATGTCTGTATGTACCTATATAGACACATACATATGTCTGTATGTACCTATATAGACACATACATATGTCTGTATGTACCTATATAGACACATACATATGTCTGTATGTACCTATATAGACACATACATATGTCTGTATGTACCTATATAGACACATACATATGTCTGTATGTACCTATATAGACACATACATATGTCTGTATGTACCTATATAGACACAAACATATGTCTGTATGTACCTATATAGACACATACATATGTCTGTATGTACCTATATAGACACATACATATGTCTGTATGTACCTATATAGACACATACATATGTCTGTATGTACCTATATAGACACATACATATGTATATATGTGTATATACACATATACTGATATCCTGTACATATGTACATGTGTACATATATACATACTGTACATATGTAATTTTTGATCCACAAAATTAAGCATATTAAAATACGTATTAAATACATATATTACATATACTGTAGACATACTGTACATATGTACATATACATATGTATCCATGTACACACTATATATAGACACATTTATATTTATATATACACACTAACATATATTCAAGGGGCATAGGGTATATATGTCCATATATGGACATATTGTACATATGTCCATATATACATAATATAGACATACTGTACATACATGTACACATACAGGCATATACTGTACACATGCACATATATAGACAAATACTCTACATATGCACATATATAGACATACTGTACATATGTACATATATAGACATATATAGACATATATATATAATACTGATTTCTTTGTGGTTATAGGTTCCAGAGGTACTTCCATATTTGTCTGTTTTGGTAGGAAGTGGTATGTCAATCCTGTTAGATTGACATGGAGGAAATTTTAGAGATCATTTGCAAATTTTGTTCCCTCTCAGGTTTATATATTGTATTCTTCTGACTCATTTATTGTAGCATAATTGAGATAAATTAATTCATTTTTTGATACTTGACATCCTAAAGTAGAAACTTTCTTTCTTATGGTTTGGACAAATCACAAATCGCTGCTTCTGAGAGAGGTGGCTATAATATAATCCTAGATTCTGGTGCTAACTTTGACCACATCAAATGATTTCTGAACATCTTCTGACAAAAATGAAAATGTAATTAACTGAATAAATGAATGTACAAATAAAAATGAATAGTGTCAATTTGCTTCTTTTGAGGATTGGATTTCAGCCTTGCTTTATTGAAAAAACCTGTGGATAGTTCAGTTGTTTCTGAAAATATAAACAATATTGATTAAAAGTAAAGTTATGGTTGGTAATTTTCTTAGCATGACAAATATAAGTTTTTCTAAAGAATAATATAAATTAAATAAAAATCTAAAGCACAGTAAATAAAGAAAATGTATACAATCATTAGAGGGTTGTTACATAAAACAACATAACACCTATTCAGATATCTTAGTGAATGCTTAGTATTCCTAAATCTATTTTTCTTCCTTAATTTTTGGAAAAACAGTAAGAAGATGTAGATTACTCTCCTTTCTTCATTAAGAAAAGTTTTAATATGATTATAAGAGTACTGGGTATAATTAGATTAAATGACAGAAGAAATCCTTAGGGATATAGTTGGCACCAGAGTCAACATACCTAGATCTTTTATTTTTTTTCTTTCATAATGTTGGCTTTATTGATTAGAACAGCAGGGGTTTCCATGAAGAATGATTCAAACTTTATTAGTGTAAATTATATTCCACATTCAGATTACTTTCAGAAACAAAGTAATGAATATGTATTCTTAGCCTCTATTTGCAAAGTTGCCTGTTTCTAAACGTTACACTGTGCAACATTTATCAGGCACCCATTCTCTGCAAGGTCCTGTGCCGAATCCTATGTCGGCATACAAATAAATAAATATATAGGGTAAATTCCCTTTTATTAATGGGTTTTGGTTTAATATCGGCAGTGAGACAATATGTTGTCACAAGACAAATTTAATAATGCAAGCTTTATATATGGTGGCAATTCTACAGACGTTATATGTAGTATTTTAAATATAAGACAAAATTCTAAGGTGGGAATATTTGTAGCTTACTTCTTTGACTTCTCCATTACTTATTAAGAGTGAATTTGCACTTCGGGAGTTGCAATAATCAAATAATTCAGTTCAAAACATATCATCATTTTCAATAATATTGGGGAACATATTCGATTTTGATCTATGAAATAAAATTGTGGATTTAGTTATTCGAGGAAAGCCTGTCCTTTAATTGATATTACATAACATTTCCTTAGAAACTTTTATAGTAGCATCTTTAATTTTTTTGCATAAGCCTAGAATTTACTTCTTAAGATCCCTTTATTCTCATTCTGTCCCCAGCCTCCTGAGAGAATTACAGTCTGGTGAAGGTTTGTTTTTTCATAAGCCTGATCATTGAGATTTTATGCAATAGGAAAACACAAACTTCTTCTCTCTGCCATTCTTTATTGTTGATGCAACCCTAGGATCTCCTCTCTTATCACTTGCTTCATTCTATTTCTCAGTATGCCTCATGCCCATATTATTTAAATGACTTGATAAGATGGAGATATTTCATCTATGGGGTGGAAAATCCAATCTGTTCACTTTGCAGCATTCTTCTTAAATCTTTTGATGAACTCATTGTATTATATTTTTATAGTCATCAAAATTTAGCTTAGAAATTAAAAATGAAGATGCATTTATTTTTAAAAAGCGAATCTCACAGAAGGTAGTCTACTCACACAAATGGACTATGCACTTGAAAAAATAGATTAAGGCACAATCTGAGTTGTATCAATTGGTGATAGCTTTTTACTGTAATTTATACATGTTTAGCAGTTTGGTTAAAAAAATAAACGATATTGTTTGACAGCCTGGATTTGAATTATTGATCCACAATTACATAGGTATATTATCTTTGGCAGGCTTTTTATCCACTTCATGCCTCTGTCTCCTGTTTTAAGTAATGAGACCAATGACAGTAACTAACTCAAAGAATTGTGAGGATTAACTAAGTTAATATCTGTAAAGTATATACAAGAGTACCTGGGTCGTAATTGACACTAAATGTTTTTTCTCTTATTATGCAACATATTAGAATGCATCCCAAGTTATTGATGTTATCATTTGAAAAATTAACTGTATTAAAATACATTTTTAATACAATAATAAAAACTCACGATATATAGTGTGAAAACTCTAAATAGCTTAACTTTAGTCTTTGAAAAGGTTAAATTCATTCTGAAAAGTGACAGTTGGAAATGAGCTTTGAAAATAAAAGTGTGTTCAATGATTACTGTCAAAAAACATTATTGAACATTAATTTGCACATAGTATTGGAGTTCTATGAATTACAATTAGAAGTTTCAAGTTATTTGGAGACATCCTATTAAAGCATTTTACTTTCTTTTGAAGTACTGCCTAAAGATGGTTTCTGTAAGGTTTTAAAATATTTTATCAATATAAAATATATTTTGAACTAAAATATGAGGGAATTACAATAAACATAATTGCATAGTAGATGTCTGAGAAAAGATGATGATCATAATGATAATGATGATGATAATGATAGTAAAATGATATTAATGTAAATACCATAATTATTTTCATTTTGATTATGAAGAATAAACTGGTGTGGCTCAGCTTTCTAGTTAAGGTAACTGTGAGTGGTAGAAATAATAATACAAATGGTGTATTACTTCAAAAACACTTGGTTAATATTTATTATGAGTTAGTGTTTGAGGGAAAAGAGATGTTAAATAAATATAAGGGGAAATAATAGTACACACATTAGAAGAAGGAAGGAAGGAAGCAAGGAAGGGAGGAAGGAAGCCAGGAAGAGAGAGAGGAAGGGAGGGAGGGAAGAAGGAAGGACGCAAGGAAGGAAGGAAGGAAAGGAGGAGGGAAGGAAAGGAGGAAGGAAGGAAGGAAAGGAGGAAGGAAGGAAGGAAAGGAAGGAAGGGAGGAAGGAAGGAAAGGAGGAAGGAAGGAAGGAAAGGAGGAAGGAAGGAAGGAAAGGAAGGAAGGGAGGAAGGAAGGAAAGGAGGAAGGAAGGAAGGAAAGGAGGAAGGAACGAGAGGAGGAAGGAAGGAAAGGAAGGAAGGAAAGGAGGAAGGAAGGAAAGGAGGAAGGAAGGAAGGAAAGGAAGGAAGGGAGGAAGGAAGGAAGGAAAGGAGGAAGGAACGGAGGAAGGGAGGGATGTTTTAATGAAAGAAGGAAGGAAGGGAGGAAGCAAGGAAATGTGGAAGGAAGGAAGGAAAGGAAGGAAGGGAGGAAGGAAGGAAAGGAGGAAGGAAGGAAGGAAAGGAAGGAAGGAAGGAAGGAAGGAAAGGAGGAAGGAAGGAAGGAAAGGAGGAAGGAAGGAAGGAAAGGAGGAAGGAAGGGAGGAAGGAAGGAAAGAAGGAAGGAAGGAAAGGAGGAAGGAAGGGAGGAAGGGAGGGAGGAAGGAAGGAAAGAAGGAAGGAAGGGAGGAAGGAAGGAAGGGAGGGAGGGAGGAAGGAAGGAAGGAAGAAAGGAAGGAAGGAAGGAAGGAAAAGCTTTCCTATTCGTAACATGAACATTTTTGTCTATGAAAAACTCTATTTAGTCTGGATGGGGAGGAGTGATTCCAATAAATCTGTAAATGTATAGTGAATATTTATTTGATAACAAAAATAGTTCTATTACTAAGTATTCAAATAAAACTGATAAACGCATTGTGACTTAACTTAGAAGTTTCTGACTGTAAAGTTGAATCCTAGGATACAAGGTAAGGAGAATGTCATCTGTGATCCTGCAGGCTGATATCAAAAGGCTTGAACTGTGCAGCTCTTTAGAGCAAACGATTATCTGATCCTGGATGTCTATCATTTCTCAAGCCATCATTCTATGTAATGAGTTCTAATTTAGAACTGAAGTATTAATAGTTCATTCAAGTGTGATTTTATCATTGTGAAGGCTTGAGGCCTCAGATTTGCTTAATTCTTAAATTATATTTAAAGCTAGAATTGTATATTTTATAGATAGAACAAATCGATAAATAAAAAACAAATATGTGATATCTTCACATCTGTTGAAGGTTTGTGATGTCACAGGTGTAAAATCTCTGAAAGGTTGTTTTAATAAATAGTATTTTATTACAGGGTCAGGAGAGACATCAGCAACAAAGAAAACACATAGTTATAAATAGCAGGTGTGGCCGGGCATGGTGGCTCATGCCTGTATCCCAGCACTTTGGCAGGCCGACGGGGGTGGATCATGAGGTCAGGAGTTCAAGACCAGCCTGACCAAGATGGTGAAACCCCGTCTGTACTAAAAATACAAAAATTAGCCAGGTGTGATGGCACGTGCCTGTAATCCCAGCTACTGGGGAGGCTGAGGCAGGAGAATTGCTTAAACCCAGGAGGCGGAGCTTGCAGTGAGCCAGGATCACGCCACTGCACTCCAGCCTGGGCAACAAAGCGAGACTCTGTCTCAAAATAAATAAATAAATACATACATACATACATACATACATAAATACATAAATAAAATAAAATAAATAAAGTAAATAGCAGGTGTTCAGTATTGGTGTGTAACTATATAGAATGAAATGTAGCAAATAATTTAAGCAAGAGCAAAAAATGATGGCACAGAATTTGATTAACTATAAAATTATTTAAAAAACTGCATTTCTCTTAAATGTGAAAACATATTAGGGATACGTATTTTTATCTAAGATTCTCTGGCATGTATTGCTATTATTTTATTTTCTAGTCTTACATTGTAGTCTGGCTGCACTGGTATCAGCATTAATAATTTTTAGTCTCGGTTAATAATATTTTTACCAGGAATGATCTTCAATCTAATCTAAACAATGGTGCAAATTCTGTGCTATCAAAAAGAAAACATCTGAGAATTTGGGGCTAGATGAGAAGCTCATATGAAAGGACAGGACAGAAAAAAAATCTAAATTTATAAAAAATAAAATAACTTTAGTGTGATCATCATCACCTAATGACAATGAGGGAGGATGTTGTCAACAATGGCTCATGTCTGTAAAAAAAGAATTTGGACTCAATTGTAATAGATATATGCAGATAGAAGTTGCAGCTATATTAAAATAAACTGCTATTTCAGTAAATGAAAAAGTATGGAGAGAAGATGATAAATTTTGTGTTGGGCAACTTGAATTTCATCAGAAAGTACTTAAATTTCTGCTACAAAGTTAGACATTCAAGTCTGGAAATTAAATAAGAGAGAGCAGGAAAAACAAATATCTGGTATTGCCAATTTTATATTCCTTCAGCATTTTCTCTCCCCAGGTGAGAGAGGAAGTGAATGAAAAGTGCTTTTTTCCAAATGCTTGTATGCGTATGTCTTCTGTGAGCTCAAGAAGATCCTCAGTTGTTAAGAAAAATGCCGAGGAAAGTAGATATACAAATGCTACTGATATTTGCATATTTTAATATTCAATTTTTCAGTAGAGGAAATTTGAAAACCTTCACATTTAAAGATAGAAACACTTTCAAATACATATTGAAAGAATTCTTTGAGGTACAGCAGTGCAAACTAAGCAGATTAGAACTGTTCAATAGGATCTGGGAACTGACAAATTTTGGAGCATAATGTGTGCTCTTCAGCAAATATATAGTAAAAATCATTATAAAAGAAAGTGCACAAAATATTTATATGTTACAGGAATAAACAGCGTTAGAAAATTAGAGGATTAGTGGCACATATCAGTTTCATATCTTGATGTTTTAAATCTTGTAATTTATTTCTTGAATATGAAATAAGTATGTCCTTTAGGCATCTTAAAATTACCTTGGGAAAGATTGGTGAAACCTAGTAATCAATTGCAATGTGATATAGCCTTTTTAGTATAGATGCTATATACCATGTTGATGAACTCATAGTTGCTTTCAGTTTATCAAACTGCATCAGAAGAGAGCAATAATTCAAAATATATATATTTTTAAAATGCTAGGATTTCCAACGTTTGACTGCATTGTATTTTAATATCTTAAGCAAGGTGTAAATGATATATAAGGTATGGTCTGATGAATTTTAATATCACCTTTTTTCAAAGATGACAGTTAACATTTAGGTGTATCCCTAAATAGAGTGGAAACAGATATTAATTTGGCATGAAGTGTTAAGAAAGATTATCCAAACTTTTAAAATAAGGCAAAAAGAGTACAGAATGTTCTTTCATTGTCACTCTGGCCATATTTTAATAGTCCTACTAAGGAGTATTTAATTCTCTAGAACAATATATCTGCTTTTGCTTTGCCTTCTTCTAATTGATTATTTCCTAGAAGGTGCAAAGTTAAATGTTAACTTGTATATTTCTTTCCAGAAGAAATGTTGACTCCATTTTAACCCATAAAATCTCTCCCTTTCTCTGAATTTCTTTAGCATCTGTAAACATAGTTTAATATTGTCTTGTACATTGGAGTTGTCTTTTTTCACTTTGATTCACCAAGTGTAGACTTTACAAATAATAAAACTGATAAAATAAAAAAGAAAAGTTGACTCCAAAGATTATGATTTTGTTGCCCTAGTAGAGGCTTATTCTGTTCTCCATCTAATCTAGTGATCTTATTCTCACATTTTTTAAATTTCTATAAATTTACAGTTCCTCAAATGTTCCTGGAAGCATCTTTACAACCTTACCAATTCTGTCAATATTGATCATATAAGTATTTCACATGTGTATTTTCTTTGTGTGCATTACAATTATGTTTTTATTTTATTTTTTTCAAAATTAAACTTCTACTTTAGATACAGGAGATACATGTGCAGATTTATTACATGGGTATATTACATACAGGTAGTGAGAAGAGTACCCAATAGGTAGTTTTTCAACCCATGCTTTCTCCGTTCCTCCATCTACTAGTCCGCAGCATCTGTTTTTCCCATGTTTATGTCCATGTGTGCTCAATGTTTAGCTCCCACTTATAAATGTGAATACACATTTTCTGTTTCTGTGTTAATTGGCTTAGGATTATGGCCTCCAGCTCCATCCATGTGGCTGTGAAGGACATGATTTTATTATTTTTTATGGCTGTGTAGTAGTCCATGGTGCATATGTAACACATTTTCTTTATCCAATCCATTGTTGATGGACACCTCACTTGATTTCATATTTTTGTTATTGTGAATAGTGCAGTGATGATTATACAAGTGCATGTGGTTTTTGGTATAATGATTTATTTTCCTTTGAATATATACTCAGTAATGGGATTGATGGGTCTAATGCAGCTCTGTTTTTAAGTTCTTTGAGAAATAGCTGCTTACCACAGTGGCTGAACTAATCTACATTCTCACCAACAGTGTATAAATGTTTCCTTTTCTCTGCAACATTGCCAGGATCTGTTTCTTCTTAACTTTTTCATAATAGCCATTCTGACTGGTGTGAGATGATAGCTCATTGTGGTTTTGATTTTCATTTCTCTGGTGATTAGTGATGATGAGTATTTTTTCATGTTTGATGGTCACCTGTATATTTTCTTTTGAGAAGTGTCTATTCATGTACTTTGCCCATGTTTTAATGGTGTTATTTGTTTTTGCTTCTAGTTTTGTTTAGGTTCCCTATAGATTCTGGATATTAGGACTTTGTCAGGTGCCTAGCGTGTGAATATCTTCTGCCATTCTTTAGGTTGTCTGTTTACTCTATGATAGTTTCTTTTGCTCGGAGAAAACACTTTAATTAGGTCCCACTCATCAATTTTCGTTTTTGTTGCAATTGCTTTTAGAGACTTAGCCAAAAATTCTTTGCCAAGATTAATGTTGAGAAGGGTATTTCCTAGGTTTTCTTCTAGGATTTTTATAATTCGATGTCTTTAAATCTTTAATCCATCTTGAGTTAATTTTTGTATATGGTGAAAAGTAAGGGTTCAGTTTTATCCTTCTGTATATGGCTAGCCAGTTACCTCAGCAGCAATTATTGAATAGGGAGTCCATTCCCCATTGCTTGCTTTGGTCAGCCTTGCCAAAAATTAGGTGGTTTTAATTGTGAGGCTTTATTTCTGAGTTTTCTATTCGGTTCCACTGGTCTATGTATCTGTTTTTGTAGCAATACTATGCTGTTTTGATTACTATAGCCTTATGGTATAGTTTGAAGTTGGGTAGTGTGGTGCCTCCAGCTTTGTTCTATTTGCTTAGAATTGCTTTGACTATTCATGCTCTTTTTTTTTGGTTCCATATAGATCTTAGAATAGTCTTTTTCTACTTCTGCTAAGAATTAAGTTGGTAGTTTAATAGAAATAGTGTTGAATCTGTAAACTGCTTTGGACAGTATGATCATTTTAATGATACTTATTTTTCTATTCAATGAGCATGGAATGTCTTTCCAATCATTTATGTCATCTTTGATTTCTTTCATCAATGTTTTATAGTTCTCCTTATAGAGATCTTTCACCTTCTTCATTAGCTGTATTCCTACGTATTTCATTTTATTTGCGGCTATTGTAAATGAGACTGTGTTCTTGATTTGACTCAGCCTGGACATTATTAGTGTATAGAAATGTTACTGATTTTTCTACATATATTTGTATCCTGAAACCTTACTAAAAATTTTTATTAGTTCTAGTAAGACCTTGGTGAAGTCTTTAGAGTTTTCTAGATATGCAATAATGTCATCAGTAAAGGTAGAGTTTGACTTGAGAAGAGAACTTTCTATTTGGATGCCTTTTGTTTCTTTCACTTGTGTGATTGCTCTGGGCAGGAATTCCAATACTATGCTAAATAGGAGTGTAAGAGAGGGCATCCTTACCTTGTGCCGTTTTCAAGGCGAGTGCTTTCAGCTTTTGCCCATTCAGTATGATGTTGGGTGTGCGTCTGTCATAAATGGCTATTACTAATTTGAGGGACGTTTTACTTTTTGAAAATTTACTTTGACAAGTGTTCATTTGATCAGTGACTGACAAAGAAGGAGATGTGTAGGAATTGGAAATTTTAATGTCCTGAGAAACTGTAAAGAAATGTCAAAGTTACAAAATGGTGGTCAGTTCTGTCTTCCTGAAAGCTCATGATCAATCATGAGTTGAATCATGACAGTAAGATTATAAACTAGACATAATTCCCTTCATAGGAATTCCAGTTTATATTATTTCTGTCATGGATTCTGTGAAGGAGAGTTATTAAGGATATTTTACCCTGCTGGCAGAAATGTATACAGCCTGATGTGCAGGAATTCTCCAGCCAAACACCTGTTCCCATCTTGACACCAATCTATCAAAGACTATAGCATTTAACTGTCACCTCCTACACCACTAGAACTGCCCATTGGCTTCAGAGGCAGCCAGAACACAAAGCTGCTTCATCCAGCATATCTGGGTTTATACTTTTTCTTAATTACGTTTGGCTTTAGGAAGTCTTAAAATACTAGAATAATAGCTTCTTCAAATTACTAGTTTCTAAGTTCAACAAGAGCAAAACTATTTTGTTTTATTCACTTTTGAATCCATTGCACCTATCACAGCACATAGAAGTCACTCAGAAAATGTTTGTTAAATAAATAAACTGCATGAGGTTGGAATTAATGAAGCGACTGAGTATAGCTACCCTTAATTATGGAAAAAAAGCAGAAAAGATTGTGAAACAAGTTTCACCAAGTATTAAGATGTTTAGAGGAAAAAGGTTTAAATCTGGTTATGCCTCTTACTAGTTTAGTCAACATGAGCAGCTGCCTTAACCCCTCAAGAGACTGTTTCCCGATATGAGAAATTTAAGAAATTATTGTGTACCAATATGCTATGTCCTGTGTATTAGGTAGTTCTTGAGTCATGTAGTATTTGCTTTATTGATTCTCTTTTTATATCTTTATGATAAATAAATATTAGAAAATTATAAATAGCTATGTACAACTGTTATTCATAGTTTAGATATTTTATTCATTAAATTTCCAAAACAGAATTACTTACAAAGATCAGATCTTTAATTTGATAAAAAAAATCTATTTATTCACTTCTTCGTATTCATTGAAAGTCTCCAATAGTTTTTCTGCTACTTCTGCTTTCTAGATATAAGGATTTTTCTTTCAATATGTTAATTGTTTTAAGGGATCTCTTACACAGGTCTCTATATAAACACTTTATGACATGCTATCACTTGCTGTATTAACACACGTAAGATTAATCTGGTGATGTCATATGTTGCAAAATAATTCTTTGTGCTTAGTAGTTTCTCATTGACATGAATGTGAGAATGATCTGGCAATTTGGCTACAACATCTGTTATTCAATTACTCGCCAGAAACAATTCCTGCACAATAATTTTAGTCACTGCCACAGATGTGGCTCTCCTTTCTTATCAAGGAAATATCTTCTTAATGAGGGATATTCAGAAGGTCAAGTTTGAGTTGTAAGAAATGAAGGGTAGTCATATTGCCCATAGAAAAATATGCGTGGCTTTCAGAATTGGTTTCTAATTAAAATATCTTGGGGTTCTGCTTCCAGAGATTCTTATTTATTTTTCAAGATGGTATTCACACATTGGTAAATAGCTCTTTAGTCTACTTTAATAGCCATTAATAAGAGCCATTTATGTAAAAGATTACCTATTTTTATGAGGAAAAACATGTTTGAAGAAAACTGTTGCCTAGCTAACGAATTCAAGTAGATTTGATATAAGATAGATAACACTTGATCATAATGTGTCCTCAGTCTACTTTTTTACTGCTTGCATACCAGTAGGCTTTAAAGGTAGCAATGAGGAAGATAAAAACCAAATTAACCTATTGAAAGTGAACTTGTCACTACATCTTTTATGCAGATTTGTGAGCAAATTGTAATTCAATAAATTTAAAAATAGCTAAAACACTCCAGTTAGTAACTAGTAGACAGGCATTATTGTTGAAGCCAAAATAAAATCATTCACCTGTATTTATATTTGTAAAATACAACGGTGCTGAAACAAACAAACAAACAAACAAAAGCAACCCTAATTTGTAGACTTTGACAATTGTGATGCTGCAAATACTTCCACTTCAGCCTAAAACAAGTTACCAGCATGGCATCACTGAATGTATAGTTGAAAATAACTGTACACAAACTATTGAAAGCTATAAGAACCATCAGCTCCACTGCCAGACCTACAACAATTTTATGTATAATTAGTTTTAAAATAATCCTGCTTCCTCTACTATGCATAGAATTTAATTAAATATATTTAGATAGCTTAAAATAATTAATTTTCCAGAGATAGGCCACAAAGACATTTGTGTGATGTTCAGGCCCCCAAAAGACAAAAATAAACCAAAGAAAATAAATGATGTTTATATTTATCATGGGGAACAGTTTCCCACTTCTCTAAACTTTATTCTATTAATTCAGGGACTTATGTTGTTACTTTTTATTTGTTAAACATTATAACAATGTAAAAAAGAATATTCATCCAAAGATGTCTAATAATTTAAAGAACATAGCTGAGCAAAGCAAAATCATAGTCATCCTACAGAATCAGAATAGATCCTCACTCAAGATTTGGCTCAGGTCATGTACACAAGAGGGAAAGATTTGGTTTAGATGTCATAGTAATGGTGCCACATTCACATATACAAGAGTATATGAATTTTTTTAAAATTCATATGTGAAGCTTTTTGGGGAGAGAGTGTCAGGACTTCCAACTGAGCTAAAAATTAACTTGAGATGGATAAGAATAATAATGATGGTTAGAGAATTGTATAGGGATGAGGGTTCTTGCTCATACTCTGAATTCCCAGCACATGCCAAATACAGGGGTTCTGCTCAAAAGCCGACGACAGTTAAACATTTAAAAAATTGAATTAGACTCCTTATTATAAGAAAGAATGAACTTAAAAATATGTCATTATTATACACAAATAGTGAAATAAGACATTAGATTGAAAGAGATGAAAAGTAATGAGACAATGCTCATTTTAATAAAGGTGACTTCACTTGTTATACTCCTATTGCACTCAGGTAATTGTTTTTTTATGCTTTAAAATACTCTGGATAACATTTCTTTGTCAGTTTTAGAGTTGATTCACTCATTCCTACTAATTTGTAAGTAAATACTTTGAGGAGCATTAACGTAGCATATCCATGATTGAAAGCTCAAATCTCTTTATTTTTATGCATGAAAGTCTAATTCTGGCACACTTTTAGGGACTGTCAAAAACATATATGTATTTGTGGTAATCAAATATATATATATATATATATATATATATATATATATACTCACAGACAAACACATATATATATATACACACATATATATATTTATTTATAATCCCTAAAGGCAGAATTTATGCCAATATTAGTAAAGAACAGGAGAAGTTATCAGATCACCCTAATACCTGTATATGTGATCCTAAAAGTAAAGTGATAAAAAAGCAAATGCATCTTGTATCTCTCACATGGATTTGTAAATAAACTGTAATTTAATAGATTTTTAAAATTGCTGCCCAGGTGCAGTGACTCATGCCTATAATCCCAGCACTTTGGGAGGCCAAGGCAGGAGGATTTATTGAGAACTGGAATTCAAGTCTAGCCTGAGCAACATAGCAGGACTTCATCAAAAATTAATTCAAGATGGATTAAAGACTTAAATATTAGACCTAAACCCATAAAAACCCTAGAAGAAAGCCTAGGCAATACCATTCAGGACATAGGCATGGGCAAAGACTTCATGTCTAAAACACCAGAAGCAATGACAACAAAAGCCAAAATTGACAAGTGGGATCTAATTAAACTAAAGAGCTTCTGCATAGCAAAAGAAACTACCATCAGAGTGAGCAGGAAACCTACAGAATGGGAGAAAATTTTTGCAATCTACTCATCTGACAAAGGGCTAATATCCAGAATCTACAAAGAACTCAAACAAATTTACAAGAAAAAAACAAACAACCCCATCAAAAAGTGGGCAAAGGATATGAACAGACACTTCTCAAAAGAAGACATTTATGCAGCCAAAAAACACATGAAAAAATGCTCATCATCACTAGCCATCAGAGAAATGCAAATAAAAACCACAATGAGATACCATCTCACACCAGTTAGAATGGCAATCATTAAAAAGTCAGGAAACAACAGATGCTGGAGAGGATGTGGAGAAATAGGAACAGTTTTACACTGTTGGTGGGACTGTAAACTAGTTCAACCATTGTGGAAGTCAGTGTGGCGATTCCTCAAGGATCTAGAACTAGAAATACTATTTGACCCAGCCGTCTCAATACTGGGTATATACCCAAGGGATTATAAATCATGCTGCTATAAAGACACATGCACACGTATGCTTATTGAGGCACTATTCACAATAGCAAAGGCTTGGAACCAACCCAAATGTCCAACAATGAAAGACTGGATTAAGAAAATGTGGCACATATACACCATGGAATACTATGCAGCCATAAAAAATGATGAGTTCATGTCCTTTGTAGGGACATGGATGAAGCTAGAAACCATCATTCTCAGCAAACTATCACAAGGGCAAAAAACCAAACACCGCATGTTCTCACTTATAGGTGGGAATTGAACAATGAGAACACTTGGACACAGGAAGGGGAACATCACACACTGGGGCCTGTTTTGGGGTGTGGAGAGGGGTGAGGGATAGCATTAGGAGATATGCCTAATGTAAATGAGCAGTTAATGGGTGCAGCACACCAACATGGCACATGTATACATATGTAACAAACCTGCACGTTGTATACATGTACCCTAAAACTTAAAGTATAATAAAAATAAATAAATAAATAAATAATAAAATAAAAAATTAGCTGAGTGTGATGGCACATGCCTGTAGTCCCAGCCACTCCAGAGGCTAAGATGGGAGGATCACTTGAGCCCAGGAGGTCAAGTCTAGAGTGAGCCACAATTGTGCCACTGCCCTGCTGCTTGGGCAACAGAGTGAGAACTTGTCTGAGAAAATTAAAAAAAAATTTTTGTAAAAGCTAAAGTACTCAGGTAGCAGCTAGTTGAGACCAATATCAGTGTAGCTTGCTTTCTCTTCTGTCCACAAAAAATGTTATTAACTTCTCTTGGCACTTGTTAAGCACTCAGAAGTGTATCTTGGTTTTATAAAGAAGCAAATTAGCTACCTCATTGTTGTCAGAAGAAAAAACAATACCTATTATTGAAATATCAAATATTTTATTTATTTTTTAATAATGGATGCACTTTAAAAATGTACATTCACAACAGCTGAAGACAGGACTTTTAGGGTGCCAAAGCATTAAATTTAAGTCATACATAAAAGTCAAATTTTTGTTTTGTTTTTATTCTTTCTCTTTTTTGATTTAATATTAAATTTGATATTAAGTTTGACTTAATAAGAAAGAAAACAAAATTCATGTATATTCATACTTTCATATTATTATTGGTTGAACTGAGTCCCTTACAATATTATATATTGAAGTCCTTACACCTAGAAACTCAGAATATAACCTTATTTGGAAGTAGTTACTGATGTAATTCCTTAAGATGAAGTCATCCTGGAGTAAATCGACCCTAATCTACATAAATGGAGTTTTTATTTTTTAAAAAAGGAGTACTTTGGACATAGACACTCCATAGGAAGAATGCTATATGAAGATGAAGCTCAATCTACAAGATCACCAGTGACCCACCAGAAGGTAGGCAAGAGGCATGGAGCAAATTCTTCCTTACAGCCTTCAGAAGGAACCATTCTGGCTGACACCTTAACCTTGGATTTCTAGCCACCAGAACTGTGAGACAATATGTTTCTCTTTTTGTAAGCCACTCAATCTGTTGTACTTTGTTATGGCAGTCATAAGAAACGAATATACACATGCACCAGAGGCAATGTCACCTATAAAATTAACCCATTCTTTCTTTATTTTCTTGCTGCTGCAAATTTTAACAAGGTAGGAAAAAATTTCCATCTAGCTCCTTTAATTCAACTGAAGTGCAAATAGACCAATCACATTTATACTAATTTAAGCAATGCTTGCCAGGGACAGTAGCTCTTCTTTATACATAATAAAAACAGCTAGGCAGTGTATAGACAACTGATACAGATTTGTACTGCCACTTCATGACGTTGCCTATAAATATAACCTAGCAGTAATAATAGAAGAATTTTAGCAATGTCTAATTCATTTGAATGATATGGCTTTTGTGACCTAATACCTACTCTGAGAAGTTGAAAGTCCATTCCTTTGAATTCTACAAGTGTTCCCCTGTGAATCTCTAATTAGGAAATGGCAAGTTTGAAAATATTTACTGACAAGTTTTAATGACACAGTCACAAGCATAAATTATAAACCTGATTGTGTTGTTTGAGTGTGATAGTCTGTCAAAGACCCCAAATCAATAGCAGAGTGGTGCAAAGATGCACTCGAGTAGAGAATGAGAAAACATTGCTTGATGGAAAGCACTCATGTATAACAGTGATTTTGTATGGTAGAAAGAGTCTCACAATAAGGTGTTGTGCTAAAGAAAAAAGTATTAAAAGGAAGCCTTGCCAGATATTAAGGAAGCAGAGGGAAATATTAATTACATTCTGGGGCTAGTTGAACCTTAAATGACAAATAAAAAATAAATTACTGTGTAAGTATTTGGCTAAAAATGTTAAGAATATTTTGAATTTTCCCATCCACTAAATCCACAAAGATTTATCAAGCATATCCTGTTTTCTACGTATTGGATATACACAGATGAATTTGTCTTAAACTTCAGAATAATGATACTTTTTACTATATGAAATGAAAAAAATAGAATTGTGTTGATTATCTATTATAAGTCAATGCTTAGAAAGTTTAATAGCTAATTTATTAGTCAAATACAACCACTGTCTTGTCTATTAGTAGCAAAAACCTATTCCAGTCCACAGTCATTCATTATAATTTAGTAACACCATTAAGTGAGGGATACTGAATATCTGAGAAGGAAATAATTTTAAACAAATTGCATATGAAATTAGGTTAACTATACATTTAAAATGCACATTTATTGATCCTGACAACTCTCAATCTAATGACTCATTTTCATGAAATAGAGTCTTCTCAGGATGATTAGCTATTTTGCAGAATGCTGTCAGTCACACAAATGCTAAAGGTGTCAGTTTCAGTTTGCTTCTCTCTGATCTTCTGTGCTACTTGCTGCCACCACATTATTGATTTCACCTTAATTCTGCAGTGATGAATAGTAAAATTATGAAGACAGATTTAGGAGTTACTTTGATTCCATAAAATGAAAATACTTTAAAAGAACGTGCTATATTCCTGAATGTATTTCAGTTCAAGAAAAATTACATTGTCTGTCAAATTGCAAAGTTTATATATCTTTGGGTTTTGGAAGTTTAGATAGAGTTTGAAATTGTTTAATATGTCATAAATAAAAGAGTCTTTCAACTTACAAGAAGAAATACATGTAAGCCAAAAGTAGACTTCCTTATAAGCAGAAATACTTTAAAAATTTAGGAATATTGCAATGAATATTTTGATAACATATGATTTATATGAGAAGTGAACAATTTAAAGTGTTTAATATATACAAGCCTCAACCTTGAATAAATGCTCATTCTCAGATTATTTATCTATCTAGTGACTTTCACTATTATAAAAATTATGATGAGAATAACTTACCTAGGGAATGAAACGTGTCTTCACATATTGTTCATAGCTTGGATGGTTGTAGCAGTTTTTAATAAAAAATGTTCTGTAAAAAGCCATTTGTTTTTCTAAATTCTGAGATATTTACAATATTCAATATGAATTGTAATTTTATTTTTGTAACAAAAATTCACAATACTGAAATCCAAATCTGTTACTCTTGCCTATACCTTTCTGTTTTATTCTAAACAGTGCGCTAAGATCAACCTACTCTACATTTCAGAGTTCCGTGATGCATTCTTTTCTGGGTGAATGATTTCTCTAAATCTAGGTCATTTTATAAAAGTAATTTTAAAGCAATGGAGTGTAGTAGAGTGGCAATGGGAGGACATATGCATAATCCAGCAAAGGTTGAGACATTTCACATAAAATTACTACTTAATGGAAGTCAGTAATTAAACTTAAAATTTTAGTTTCATCTGTTTAAAAACAACAATGTAAAGTTGTATTAGAAAATGTTTTCATGCAAGTTAACTAATTGCCTTAATTGATGTTTAAATTTATTTTGTTATTTTAAAAGTGAAGCTAATCAAAAACCACTTCAAGAGCATTTATTGAATGTCCACTGTGTGCCAGTCATACAGCTGTGCTTTGGGAATAATAAATAAGCTATGGACAATGACTCCAATACCTCAGTGCTTTCTGAGGTATCAGAAACAAATACATGCAATATTTCATCCTACAATAAGATGGATATTTACAAGTGATATGGATAAAGCAGTATGAAATTACCCACCAAGAGAAATCTATTGCAAGATATGTATGCAATTTTAAAATTGTTAGTGGTTTCTTAAAGGTAAAATGAAATAGGTGCAATACATTTAAGAACATAAGTCAAATATCCAAAATATCATTTCAATGTATAATTATAATTAACACCATTAATGAGATATTTTACATTCTTTTACATACTAAGACTTTCCAATTCTTATACCCACATTTCAAGGGCTTAGTAGCTACAAGAGACTGGTGGCCACTGTATTGGAAGTGTGGCACTATGGAATTACAGAGGAAGGAGCTATTTACTTAAATATAACCATCCCTTGTCTCTCCTTTCATTTTGTACCAAATCTCTTCTGAACTCAAAAACCTTGGGCCAGAAGAATAGTGCCCACAAAGTAAACCGATATTTCCGAATTATTTACTCTATATACTTTTTCTTCAGTACTAAATATTTGGTGAGGAGGTTCTTTAACTGATTTCAATTTCATGGTAATAAAGAATAAGAAAGTAGCTTTGAATTACAAGGTAGCTATTTTTAGAAATGCTGCTAAAAAAAAAAAAGGTTTTTACATGTACGCCAGTTTTCAGCAGTGTTTTGGGGTAGGTGGCAGCATAGAAGAATAATTGAGAGTATGTTGGCCTGAGACTGTAGAACTGGAACAGTTTAGTAGGTTCAGGGTATAGTGAAAAGAATGTGGGCTTTGATTCTACATCCAGGTTTAAATTTTATTTGTTTATAACAGGAGATGACATTACTATCCTCAAAACATTATTGTAGGGAAAAAATGCAATTGAGCATGTGTTACTACAATAGAGACTAGTGTATAGATGTTGGCCTTAAGCAATGTTAATCAACTTTTCTACCTTGATTAGCATTGTCATGATTCGCCTTCTATATGGAATCTGATAAGGTTGAACTCATGGAAATAGAGATTAAATCATGGTTACCAGAAGCTGGGGGTAGGGGGTTGCAAAAAAAGGAAACAAGTTGTTCATCAAAGAGTACAAAGTTTCAGATAGACAGAAATAATTGGTGTTGATGTCTATCGCCCTGTGAAATGTCTATAATGCATTATATATTCCAAAATAACAAAGATAGTAAATTTCAGATGTATTTTCATAAAAAACGATAGGTAAGCAAGGTGATGGACGTGTTAATTTACTTGATTTAAGAATGCAGTATTATATACACTTATCAAAACATCACATTGTATTCCAGAACTTCTACAATTATGGTTTATACATAAAGATATTATTAATTTTTTAATTTAAAGACTTTAAAAAAGAAAATTGCTACTTAGATGAACAAATAGAAAAATGAAAGAAAAAAATGAAGAAAATATATGACACCTGTGAAACACCAACAAACTAGTGAATAAACTCCTTGTGGAAGTTCTTGATGGAGGAGAGGGAGAAAAAGTGGGAGAAAGTTTATTTAAAAAAAATTTCCAAATCTTAGGAGGAATATGAATGTTCAGATTCATGAAGCTAATGGATCCCAAAAAAGGATCAACCCAAAAAAGATTACTCTGAGACATAACATTAAAACTGTGAAAGACAAAGTTGAAGTTGTTATCAGTTTAAAATAGACTGTAATAACTATGTTTTATGTAAATCTCATGATAATCACAAATAAAAATTCTCAAGTAGATACACAAAAGATAATTAGAATGGAATCAAAATATACCACTACAAAAAATCAACAAATCACAATTAAGACAACAGGGGAGAAAGAAAAGAACAAAGAAACTACAAATCAGTCAAAAAACAATGAACAAAATAGTAATCATAAATCTTTACCTAACAGTAATTTAATGCAAATGAATTAAATTCTCCAATCAAAAGAAATGGTGGATAAGTAATTTAAAAACATCCAATAGTATTCTGCCTATGGAAGACTCACTTTGGTTTAAGGACACACATAGGCTGAAAGTGAAGGGATTAGCAATGTTATTTTATGCAAATGGGTAAACTAAATAGAGCAGTCATGGCTATACTTATATAAAACTAAAGAGATTTTTAGTCAAATCTGTCACAAGAGACAAAGAAGATCATTATATAATGATAAAGAGGCCAATCATTAAGAGAATATAATAATTTTAAGTATATACGCCCTCAACATTGGAGCAATAACATATATAAAGCAAATATTAACATAACTGAAAGGAGAAATAGACAGCAATACAGTAACAGTATGGAATTTGAATGCCCCACTTTCATCAATGGATAGATCATCCAGACAGAAAATCAATAGGGAAATAGCATATTTGAATAACACTATAGAAAAAAATGGATCTATAGAACAAATAAAAATGTGTTCGCCATCTCTATTCATCAAGGAAATGCGAATTAAAACCATAGTGAGATATCCCATCTGTTAGAATGACTGTTATCAAAAAGACAATTTATAACAAATGTTTGCAAAGGTTTGCAGAGAAGAGAATTCTTAAGTATTATTGGATAAAATGTAAATTGGCATAGCTGCTGTGGAAAACAGTATGGAAGTTCCTAAAAAAATTAAAAATAGAAGTACCACATGATCCAGCAATTCTATTTCTAGATATACAGACTGGTCAGACTTATGATGGTTCAACTTATAATTTTGTAACTTTACCATGATATGAATTCAATATGCATTCAGTAGAGACTATACTTGAAATTTTGAATTTTGACATTTTCCCAGCTAGCAACATGCCACATGATACTCTCTCATGATGCTGGGTAGTAGCAATGAACTCCAGCTCCCAGCCTTCCATGCTAATGTAAGTGTTCCAACTGCATTTAAGATAGGCTATCCTACACTATGATGTTCGGTGGGATAGGTGTATTAAATGCAGTTTTGACTTACAATATTTTCAGCTTACCATAGGTTTATTGTGATGTATCACCATTGTAGATTGAGGAGCATCTCTATACCCAATGTAAATAAAATCTGCATCTCTACAAGATATCTGCACGCCCATGTTCACTGCAGTGTTATTCACTGTAGCCAAGATATGAAAACAATCAAAGTATCTGTGGACAGATAAATAGAGAATATTTGGTAGATACAATGGTTTTACTTATGAATTTTTCACTTTAGGATGAGTTTATCTGGATATGACCCTATTATAAGTTCCAGGCCTCCTATGACTTACAAAGAATTGATAGTTTCTACTGAATATTGCTTTTGCATCATCATAAAACAAAAAAAAATCGTAATGTGAACTATTCTAAGTTGAAGACCGTTTGCTGTGCTGCCAGTATTAAATGCATTTCTGACTTTAAAATACTTTTGATTTATGATGAGTTTAATGGGGCATAACCCTATCATAAATTGAGGAGCATCTGTATATTCAGTGCATATTATTTAGTCAAAAACAGAAGAAAATCTTGCCATTTGCATCAGCATGGATAAATCTAAAAGACATTATGCTAAGTGAACGAAGCCAGGTAAAGAAAGACAAATACCATATGATCTCACTTCTATGTGAAATCTAAAAACAACATCAAATAAACAGAGAGTGGAATGGTTGTTGCTAAGGGCTGGGGGTTAGTCAGAGGTTCCAAACTTACAGTTGTAATCAAATAAATTCTGGGGAGTCTAATATACAGCATGGTGACTGTAGCTAGTAATATTGTATTGCATACTTGAAATTTGCTGAGAGTAGATCTTAAGCATTCTTACCACAAACACACACAGAGACAAACACACACAATAATAATTATGTAAGGTGATAATATGTTAATTAGCTTGATGTATATATGTATTAAATCATCACATCATACACCTTAAATATATACACATTTTGTTAATTATATCTCAGTCAAACTGGAATTTTCTTGAAAAGAATACAGAAGAGTAATCAGAGAGATATATCTCTTATTCATTTATAGAATACTTTCACAACAGAATACTCTATTTGCAATAGATTGTTAGTAGATTATAAAGTATCATTCTCAATCATTTGAATGCTCACTGGTAGGCAAGTTAACATTATACTATGGAGAATTCTTTTAGTGGATTGGAAATATTATGTTCTGTTCCTAGAATAAGAATGATTTATGTTCTTCCTAGAATAAAAACATATAAATAAATATATATACATATATATATACACACACACACACATATACACACACACACACAGCTAATAATTTTTTGAAATAATTCGGTAAATTAATTGCTTCCTAGTCTGATTTTCATTTTCAAATAAATGAAGCTCATTTATAAATAGTAGTTACAGTACTTGTAACTACTGAGTTTTGAGTTTTGCCATGTGACAATGTGTATATATATATATATATATATATACACATTGCATGTATATATATATATATACATATTGCGTGTATATATATATACACATTGCGTGTATATATATATACACATTGCGTGTATATATATATACACATTGCGTGTATATATATATACACATTGCGTGTATATATATATACACATTGCGTGTATATATATATACACATTGCGTGTATATATATATACACATTGCGTGTATATATATATACACATTGCGTGTATATATATACATATATATGCCTTATATATATATGCCATATATATGTATATATATATATGTATATATATGGCATATATATATGCCTTATAAACATGTCATTCTTTCCTCAAAGATGTATGTTATGGTATTAGGTACATTTATCCCGCGTTACTGACTTGATTCAAGAGGTTTAGAGAAGTTAAGTAACATTCAATATCACATATCTATTAAACATTTTCATGTTGCATTACCTCTTCAAGAGGTAATATACATCATATGCTTAGGTTTTAAGTAACAACAAAGAAGTTGCTTGACATTTATAGTAAAAGCTTTTGAGAGAAACAATGCTTTTAATGTAATTTCACAACTGGGAAATTGTAAAAAAAAAGATACACATAATGGAATAAATTTTGGAGAAAATCTATCATACATTTTAAATATATAGCTCTATAAATTTTCTAATGACATAAATGTACTTTTATTTTTTCTTTGAGTTAATTATATGTTTGTAAAAAGTTACAGAAATTATACGGAAAAATATAGTATACACTTTACTCAGTTTTCGCCATAGTAACATCTTACAGAACTGTAGTAGAATATCAAAGCTAGGGCTTTGACTTTGATACAGTCAAGATGCATGACAATTCCATCACCACAGGGGTCGTGTATCTTGCCTTTTTATAACCACACTTACTTCCGTTCCACCCGTCCCCACACACCTTGACTTTAACCCCCAGAAACCTCGAATTTGTTCTCCATTTCTGTAATCTTGTCTTTTCAAGAATGTTATACAAATAGAATTTTACAGTATATAATCTATTGGGTTTTTTTTTTTTTTTACACTCAGCATAATTCGCTGGAGGGTGATCTGTAAAAATTAAAGAAAGAGGAGAGAAACATGAAGGGTGGGTTTTCAGTCAACAGGGACAGGCTTATTTTAAATAAACCTGAGGGGGCAGCTGGCTGAGTTAGGTCAGAGCCACACTCTCTTACAGACTAAGAGTTTGTTTTTTTTTTTTTTTTTTTTTTTTGAGACGAAATCTCACTCTGTTGCCCAGGCTGGAGTGCAGTGGTGCAATCTCCATTAAATGCAATCTCGGCTTCCCTGGTTCAAGTGATTCTTCTGCCTCAGGCTCCTGAGTAGCTGGGACTACAGGCGCACGACACCATGCCAGGCTAATTTTTTGTATTTTTAGTAGAGACGGGGTTTCACCATGTTGGCCAGGCTGGTCTCAAACTCCTGACCTCGTATTCTGCCTGCCTTGGCCTCCCTAAGTGCTAAATTATAGGCATGAGCCACCACGCCCCGGCCCAGATTAAGAGTTTTTAAGGATTCAGGGTGGGAGAGTTTATCAGAGGCTTGGACTGCTTCTGTGTCTCTTTGTTGTGCTTATCTGGGAGGGAGAGTTATGTGTCTGTCTGCATACATCTTCCTGCAGCTGCAGGCATATCCCCTGAGTCTGCTTTTAGCTTCCCTATCTTAGTGCATCTGAAGGGAAAGGCATGTGTTTATTAAGGCCCGCTGTTTTACTGGGGCCCATTGTATGAGGGTGAAGTTTGGAAGTTACCCAAGAGACTCTCCCCCAACCTCCCTCTGTGCCCCAGCTGTCTTATCTGTGTTTTACTCTCTGCTCTTTCTGTCTGCTTGTAGTCAGAAGAGAAGTGATTTCCTTGAAATGCATGAGGCTAGAAAGGGAGCTGGAACTTAAAAGTGGCGGTGTTTGTCTGAGATGACAGTGCTCCTGCTTTGTTCATGATCCAGACTGTTAGATATATTGTCAAAGATAAACAAAGCCTGACATGAGTTAAAGTAGCAAGGATAGATTTTAATCAGTAAGCTACTATTGCAATATCAAAAAGAGTTCAGCATGAACTGACATGCAATTTGTATAGACAGGTGATTGGGACTTTAAAGAGGGAATGACAGAATAAGGAAGAGGGACTCAGTAGGGTTAGGGAAGTGAAACATTACAACAGTGGGAGAAGAGAGTTATTCTATGTGAAACCCATCTTAGTCTGTTAACTGCTGCTAATGGAAGTTATGTTCCTGTCCTCCAACAGAGACTGGGAGACAGGGAACTTGTCTTTAATATTAGCCCCTGTCTCTCAGCCTTCAGTTTTCTCAGGTGATATTTAAGGAGAGTTAGGGTCATTTTAGGGATGTAACTTTAGCTGTTAGAAACTAAACTATGTTACTGTTTTGCTCAAATCTTCATAGGCCAAGGTTTAGGTCTAGTTGAAAGAGAACTCAAAGGAGCCTGGCTAGAGTTGGTCAAAAAGATAATGTTTGTCAGTATTAATAGTATGTTCCTTTGTATTGTTGAATAGTACTCCATGGTAGGGATGTAGCACAGCTTGTGTAACCATTAACTTGTATGGATTGTTACCAATTTGGGCTACTAGAAATAAGCTGCGATAAACATCTATATACAGGTTTTAGCATGAACTTAAGTTTTATTATTCTATGAGGTAAATTCTCAAAAGTGCAATTGCTGGAACGCATGATAGTTGCATGTTTAGTTTTGTAAAAAAACCACTATTCTCTTTATTTGGCCACTTTTTGTCCATTTATTTCTTCTACCAGCTTATTTTTTATTTACTAAAACTTTATGCCAATGTATAATTTTAGTAAAATGTAGAACAATGAACTATGAGTAAGAGTAAAAGCCAGGCATCCACATTTTGACTTTGGAGCTCATGGGTCACGGGTTTCTCAGGTATTAAAAGATAACTATAGAGTTTCCAAGTTAAATATATTAGAAGTGCCTTTTGATCCTAAAATACTGAAAACTAATAGGACTTCAGTGCTCAAAATATTTAATATTTGTTAATTTACATCCTGGTTTTTCTGGAAGTAAAAGAAGCAAACAACAACAAACATCAATGTTGACCAATTCACAAGTAAACTGTTAGTTGAAGGACTTGCTAACATTTTACTATTAAATTTGACTTACCAGTTTTTTTAACCTCTCTTACCTCTAAAATCATGTTAAATTACTTTTTTTCAACCTCTTTATTTATATTCTTTATCTTTTTCAAATACCCTTAGTAGTTCTTTAGTGAGTTAATTTAGCTTTATTCCTATATTTCTTTATAAGTGTCATTTCTATTCACAGGATTTGTTTTTCTGTTCTGTACTCATTTTGGAGAAAATCATTAACTTTTTAGTGTCATTTTAAATTTGAGCCTTTATAGTTGGTAGCAGTTTATATAAAGTCTCCATTAGCTGATATAAAATTACAGAGGAGCAGTTTTGAAATACACAGCCCATGTGATCAAATTCACAAAAAAAATCTGAAATTTTTTTGCCTAAATTGAATGATCTATTTGATTGTATTAAATTTTGGCTTAACTTGCAGTCACAAAGCACTAAATATCAAGTATTATGAATCCCAAGGCATCTGGTCAAATATTCATATAAAAGAACTTATTACCTATGATCCTTCTTCTCGCCAATTGATTCTAAAATTTATGGAGAAGACTTGGGTGGTAAAAAGTAACAACTGTGTGATTTGCAGATGCTGTGAAGCTAGCAGGAAAAAAAAATGCTTTTAAGTGTCTTCTGCCATCTCCAAGGGAGAATCAGGCAGACATTGCTATTCAGAAAGACACAGTCTGAGTTGTGTTCCTCCTTGAAATTATTTTCTTTAGTTTTTGATTGATGAGTGGTTAAAGAAGTGTATTGGTCCATTTTTACACTGCTGATGAAGACATGCTCGAGACTGGGTAATTTACAAAGAAAAAGAGGTTTAATGAGCTCACAGTTACACGTGGCTTGGGAGGCCTCACCATCATGGCAGAAGGCAAAAGGCACATCTTACATGGAAGCAGACAAGAGAGAATGAGAACCAAGTCAAAAGGGTTTCCCTTTATAAGTTCATCAGATCTTGTGAGATTTTTTTCAGTGTCATGAGAACGGTATGGGGGGGAACCGTCCACAATTCAATTATCTCCCACCGGGTCCCTCCCATAAGACATAGGGATTATGGCAGCTACAATTCAAGATGAGAGTTGGGTGGGGACACAGCCAAACCATATCAAAAAGTATGCATAAAACAAGGCATGCAGAAGCCAAGTAATAAGGAAAGCAGAGATAATTTTCTCGAAGAATGAGATTAAAAAGCATACTTTCCAGGGACATAAATATGTGTGGAGCTTAAAATTAGAAGATTTCTCAGTACTTTGGAAATCTGAATTCCTACAACACAAACTAACAAAGGATAAAGGTATATTTTTGAAAATTCTTTTTGAAAGGAAGATGCACAGAAGCCTTACAGAGAGTAATAATCCACAAAGGCTTGAATGTAAACAATCATGTGGATTAAATATAAGAGAAGTAGCCACATTAGAATAAGGATATGCACGTGTCCAATTTCTTGATTTGCATGATGACTTTTTTTTAAGGTGGCATTTCTCGACCTTTTTGGTTACAGTATATTTTCTTCATTCTTAAGAGTTATTTAGGACCACAAAGAACTTTTCTTTATGTGGGCTATACATATCAATATTAACTAGATGAAAACTTAAATTGTGAATTTCATAACTACTTATTAATTAATTTAAAGATAATACTAGATCTGCTATTTATTAGTATAAATAGCATAGTTTAATGAAAAAAATAATATTTTCCAAACAATAGTGGGAAAAAATCTACCTTAATGAAAGACACCTAGATTCTCACATCTGCTTCTGCATTCAATCTTTTACAACAAGTCTTTTTCTTGGATTATGGGAAATAAATGTAGCCTTCCAAGATTTATAGTTGAAATACAAAGGGGTATTTAGTAGCCTTTTCAAACAGAAAATATTATTCTCAGGTGCTGTTGGGACTCAAAAACAATGCCCCGGCCACGCGCAGTGGCTCATGCCTGTAATCCTAGCACTTTGGAAGGCAGATCACTTGAGGTCAGGAGTTTGAGACCAGCCTGGCCAACATGATGAAACCCCGTCTCTATTAAAAACACAAAAATTAGCCTGGTGTGGTGGCGAGCTTCTGTAATCCCAGCTACTCAGGAGGCTTAGGCAGGAGAATCACTTGAACATGAAGGCGGAAGTTGCAGTGAGCCGAGATCGCACCACTGCACTCCAGCCCGGGTGACAGAGTGGGACTCCATCTCAAAAAAAAAAAAAAAAAAAATCTATCTATCTATCTATCTATATATATTTTGCCTCAGAAGCCAAAACTTTTCTCTGACCTTCTCCTGCTCTCCTGCCTGTCAGTCCTATTGTCCACCTAAGCTAGAGTAGAAAGTACAATCTCTCTTTCTCTAAGCAGGTAATAGAAATGGCAACTCCATTTCCCCATAGCCAGCCATAAAACTTAAAAATATTATTCTAACTTTCCCTCTGCCTTTCTGTGTAAAAACTGGTCATAAAGAAATTATTTGACCTTCTTTGTTTGACTGTAGTTCATAAAACCCTTATCAAAAGGTCCTGTCCCATACCCAGAGGGACACAATACGTGCTCAGAGAGGACAAGAAGAATCTAGATAGGCAAGTATTGCTGGGTTTCCCCACTCAGTCTGTTAACATTTGATTACGCTTTTTATGTCTAATCATATTTTTACACGGCTGTCTACGCTTTGCCGAACCCAATCATTAAAATGCACAATTTCCCATGTATCTTTAGATTTTCATTCTAAAGGCTCCCAGGTACATGTTAATAAATTTGTAGGCCTTTTCTCCTGTTAATCTGCCTTTTGCCAGTGATTTTCAGCAAACTTTCGGAGAACAAAAGGGAAGTTTTTTCTTGACCTCTACAATACTATACCAAATCTCATCAAGTGGTAGTTTCTTAAAGGTAGCTTCAATGAGAAATCTGAAACCACTTAACAAAAACTTTTTGTATTGTTTCCAAAAATGCACGCTTCAATCTTGTAATTTGATGGCATCTCTTACCTTGAATGACTTTGTAACATCATGCATCTGTCATTTGGAAAATATTAGTCACTGTGTTATGTAGGTATTCATATATTAAAATGTTTTATTATATGAAATCTTCACACATTCTAAATCCTTAGAAAATTGTGACTATATACTCATGAGAGAATGGTAGTGGGTAAAAAAAAATCTTATTAATATTTAGAAATTGTTTTGCCTTTGAAGACTCCTCAAAAAGATGCCAACCAGCCCCATGGATCTCTAGTCTACTCGTTGAGTATCTTGGTTTAAAGAAAATAAGATAAAATTTTGCATCTGAGATGTGAAATGTAAATATTTTGATGTTTGGTACACCTTTTTAAAAGTGTAATTGAAGTAGAAGATTAGGAAGGTGGCTACAAAAGATAGCTTCTCATAAAGTATTCTCAAAAATAGTAGTGTTTGGTGCTAATATATAGTTAGCAATAATTGCAGTCTAAATGTCCTTTGCTTGTACAAATATGAAAAGGATACTCAGAAAATACCAAGAAACAGCAAGAGTTATAGCTACTATTATTTCTACATCTTTATATCAATATAAAAATAAAGTTTTAATAAAAAGTATATAGGTTATTATAATTAAATGCTTATTTGTGATTAAATTTCACAACATATAAACCCCAAATATTAAATAACTTATGTACATTGTTCCAACATTATCCGTTTTATCACCTGTGATGTAATTGTGTGTTTATAACCAAGCATTTCTGACATGTATTTCATTTAATTTTAAAAAATATCTTTAATATGATGTAATATTCTAACCATGAACTCTAATTGAAAGAAAGGTAGATAAGCAAAAAAGGCATAATCAATACTAGAGAATACTACATAGATGACCAAGATCAAGTTTCAGACAGAGCAAAACAAGTTTAGGTTTTATTAGCAGAACTGAGTACAAGAATGCAGTTTTGATGTCATCAATGAGGCAGGGACACACTACATACACCTAGGTAACTAAGTAAGAGCCTGAATACAGAAAACACTAGCCTTTTCATAAATCTTTATTTCATCTGTTTCTTACAATATTTCTATGAATGTGGACTGTTGGATCCTCTTAAGTTTCTACAAAGAACATTAATCACGTTGTCTTAAAATGTGCTCAACGATTACTTTTTACGTCTTATTACTCTTTTTGCCAGTGGTTGTTCAGTCAATCAATTAATCACCAAAGTTATTAAGTGTCAAATATAGGTAAGACAATGTTCCAAATGAAGCCAATATACACAGTAGCACTTGGTAATAGGCTGCTGTAAAACGAGTTAAAGATTTAGGAAAATCCTTGAAGATTTATTTCTCCCTTAATTGCTCCTTTATTTCCAGAAGGTAACAAATTGCCATTGTCATCTTGGTTTCCTGTAGAGGAGGAAGAAATTGTATTTAATTACTTCTCCTTCTGTTCTTTCTGCTTTGGGAAAGCAAGTGACTGAGAATGATAAAACACTGAAGCAAATGTCTGAAGAAATATGATATACTAATCCTTCCAGTGGCTTGGCCTAGACCCCTGTGGCTAGAAAACAATCTTTACATTTAATACACTTCATTCTTCCAACTGCCAATTGTATTTACAAAAGGTGCCAAGGTTCTTAAAATAAAAGGCTCTCTGTGGTATCTGAGCAAGGGTAAACCAACAATTTTCTCCCCTAGGTTCACTGGAAGAATTCTCAAATACCTGTTAGTCATTGACCTAGGCAAAGAGAGATGGTCCATAAAAATCACAGTTGAAGCCCTCAGGGTACCATGCATTATTTGCCCACGGCATGATACTGTAGCTAAAATCCAGGTTTTTAGTAGCTAAAAACACTGTGTGGAAGTGCATTCTAGGAGCGTTAATCCCACAAGACACCCTAGAATAACAAAATAATTCTTAAATTAGTTTGGAAAATACTAATCCTGATTATAGAGGATACAGTGCAAAATAGCTTTATTAAATTAAATTGCAAATATGGAAATAAAGTAGCCAGTCTAACAGGGTTTAACTATTCTCAAACTTTTTATAGCAAGACATTATTTAAATTTCCACGAGTCAGTATTCTCATAAACACCATTTTGATTTAAGAAAATGGACTAGTTTTAGGTAAAGTTAATACCTCTCGTTTCCAGCACCTCTTTAATTGCATCTTATTAAAGTTTGTTTACTTTAATGGAACACTTTTCAACACTTATCAAAATGTTTTTCCCCTTCAGAAAGAGTTCTGATATTAGGCATTAATAAGAACACTAACCACAAGTTAGTGTAGTGTAAGCCCTCTCTCCAAATCTCCTTAAGAATAGCCACTGAAATAGTCACTGAAATAGGGATTTCAATCGCCAATGAAAATGTATGAGTGGCATTTATTTGGCTACATTCTTTACTTGAGTAAGGGAATTAATATTTTATAGTCAGTCTACTCTAGATAATAATAATATCATTTCTAAGCTTCTGTATGATTCTCATGAACATACAAATAGCGAATACATAACTGAATCAACTAAGATTTTGAATTTGGGCTTAATAAAAGAGATTGCTTTATTAGAGGAGCTTTGCATTAAGGAGGAGAGAAATACATCAGACTGCTTATTTGCCATATGAATATTATCAAAATTAGTTTTTAAGTCTTCAACAAACCTAGTAAAAAAAATAAGCAACAACAATTTTAGAAACATGTAGCTAAATCCCAAAACATTTAGTAAATTTTGTCCAAATGGCATTTTTATTTTAATGTCAGAAGAAAATGTGTGAGAACAGAGGGTCTCCTAGTATCAAACCAGTGTTTTGGTAATACTTTTGGAAATAGAATTAAGAACGATATCAGGTTTTGTCAGTGTTCTTCTCTATGGTGGTCACTGTGCCTGATTTTTTTCTGTATGTCTTACATTACCTTGCACATACAAGGTAATCAGGAGCACATATAGACTTGTTAAAATATGACAAAGAAACTTAGTATCTGTTACCAAAAAGGATAGATCAGACTTTTTTCTTTCCAAAGTGGCTTTTGGTACAATAAATATTAAGGACAGAATATTAGTGAATGCTTTCTTTAACATATAAAATAAGACGTGTGGTGACTCATGCCTGTAATCCCACCACTTTGGAAGGCTGAGTTGGGAGGACTGGTTGAGCTCAGGAGTTTGAGACCACCCTGGGAAAGACCTGTATCTCTAAAAAAAAAAACAAACAAACAAACAAAAAAAACAAATTAGCCACTCATGTTGGTGCATGTCTGTGGTCCCAGCTACTTGGGAGGTTGACATGGAGGATCACTTGAACCCAGGAGATTGAGGCTTTAGTAAGCCACGATCACTCCACTGCACTCCAGCCTGTAGAAAGAGTAAGATCCTATCTCAAGTGTGTGTGTGTATGTATATATATTATATATATAGTATATATGTGTATGTATATATATAAAATAAATGAATACATATGCTTATAAGTGCATAAAATATTTCTAAAAGTATAATCAAAAACCTAAATCAGTGTTTGATACAAGGAGGATAATTAGTTTGAGGTCTCAGCAGAAGGAAAAATTATTTTCCACTATTCTCTGTTATTTTTACTTTTGAATTTTAAACAGTTTTTTACAAGAATACATAAATTTTAAAAGCTAAATTACCAGAACAAACAAGGAAACACCTGAATCTATACTTAGCAGAAGTTAGTTCATCAAATCTTCCAGTAAGAAGATGGACTTTTAAGATTAGGACACAAGTTATTGAAATATTTGAGGTTTAGAAACTTTTTTTTAAACAATAAAGGGAGAAAAACACGTTAGCTAGTGACTTTACACTATTGCTTTTCTGAAATTATTCTTTGTAAATTCCACACTCCCACATTCCATACTTTCACAATCCCTTTATAAATTTACCTGAAATATTAAATAACTAAATTCGGGGGAAAAAAGTACTAATAATTTGGTTTTGACTTTAGGAGTATGTTATTCCAAATCAATATGTGATTCTACCGTATGAAGAAAAAATTTGTCTTTTTCCCATCCAAATATTCAAAAAACATATTGCAGTTATTAAAACACTATCAACATTGTGATAACTTACTATAAGAGAAAACCAACATTTTTTAGAGTTAATATATTCAGTTCAGTAGAACCTTTTAACACATATCTAGCAGACCACAATACAAAAAAAAGTCTCTGTTGTTAATCTGTTATATATTATGAGAAGCAAAAGTCATAGTGGAAGATAGTGGTGAAGTTTTCATTTTGGAGTCAGGAGACTCGAGTTCTAATCCTGCCTTCACTATTAAACTGCAAAGCCATTTGTCAATTTCTTGATCTCTAGTTAGCTATTTCTTCATGAATAAAACGGTTAGATTGTCTCCAAGGTTCCTTCCAGCTGGGAGTTTCAATAGCTCTATGATTTGTGACTCAAAGTCACAGTTGTTTCTTAAGAATCATAAATAATGCTTTGTTGCTGACGTATAACTTACACGTTTAGAACCCAATTTTCTGCAAGTTTAAAATTAAATGTAGATTGCTGCCAAAGTCCTTATCAAACTGAATGTGGGGAAATTTGAGAAGGTATGTAGGGAAAAACAAAAGGTAATATATATCATGACATATTAATTTCGATGATGGTTCCGTAAAACATTTGTGTAAATTGTTCTCAATTGGTACAATTAATTTAATGGGACAGCCGTATAAATCACATGTACATTGCTAAGTGGAGGATTCTCCCCTAATTGAAAAACAGAATATATGTAGACTAAGGAATTTGATTAGTAACTATAACCTTGAATTCTTTTTTGAGTTATACCCCAGATATTCCTCTGAATATCTGGATACAGGAGAATGCTGTAAGTCTGAGAGCATCATTTTCCTTCCACATCTGCTTGGTTTCGATTTCGTTTTTAGGTTTTGGTTTTGGACACCCAGTGTTTATTGTTTTTAACAGCGAACTATGTGCTGTAATATTTGTTACAGTCTTCACCTTTCAACACTGTATTGCAGCAGGGAATTTTATACATTTACTATTTACTATATCCTAAAATCTTCTGAGGGCATTTCAGATCATTGTTCTTGATCCTTGATTTTATTTCCGAATCAGCCCAGACGTTTGGATGTGTGCATACCTCGACAGATTGGTTGGACTTATCTCTCTTTGCCTTACTCCAATTTCTTAAGTAATTGCTTTCTCTGACTGTCTGTCATGTATTTGCATCAAGGTTACTAACACAATAGTATATTAAGTGTATTTTATGTATTTTCAGCTTTTGTGTTATGAAATAAAAATATTTTTTTTTGTTTTGTTTTGTTTTGCTTTGCTTTGCTTTGGTTATTTGGACCTGACATTTGAACTTGTAATATTCAGCTACCTTTATGTAGGAAAATTTGACAGCAGTTTTGCTTCCTAGCTTTTATCCTGATCACATAATACAATACAATACAACTTCTCACTTTACCTGATTTCTTTATTATAGTTATTAATTTTATTATACTACCCTGTATACAGTATAGTGCAGTACCTAATATTCTTTTGAAATAAAGTAAAATATTCAATATAAATAACTTTTGAATAAAAGTTCAATACAATTTTCCCCAACCAGTTTAGAAAGCTCACAACTTTGGAAATTCTATGTCAACTTTTAAAATCTGAAGTTATGTTCAAAGAAGTTACATAGAAAAGTAACTCAAAGTTATGTGTATGGTTAATCTCATCTGCAGGTTTATACATTCTATGTCTAATTGAAGCCCACATAAAACTGTGAGTTAAACACACTGACGTGATCTAACTTCATTTAGAAATATCTTCTCTGAGAAACTTTTTATTTCAGTTTCACTGCTTATCTAAAAATGTAGCAATGCTTTTTAAACTAACCGAAGTGAAATCTGTACTGATTTCAATTGATAGCCACATAGGATTCTTGTGTTAGTTTCTTAGTTTGGAAAAAATGATTTCTAATAGAATATATGAAAGGGTAAAAAAATGGAACTGCTCTCTTCCCATGCTAATTTCATTGAACCAAAGGATAGCACAGTCCTTACAGAATGCAGGCATGTATGCATTTCTGTTATTTTCTTAAGTCATGCTAAAATTTATGGTAGAGCCAAAACATGTAAAATGTATCCCACTTTAATTGTGGTCTACCCCACCAAGTCATAATAAAATCTAATTTTAAAAAATTTTCAAAAAATAAAATCCTAAATAAGTGTCCGGGATGTTTTTTCTAAAATAAGTAGGGTAACATTTGTCCAGTTTGATTATCAAAATCACTCAAGTTACAAGTTCTGATATTATACCTCAGTTTATACATGTAGATATACCTTAGGTTATTTTTATCTCTGAAAAGTGGCACAATGATTACATGTTTTTTTAATTAGCCAGAATAATTTTAATTTGGATCTCTTAAATTGATCATGGTTAAGAAAAACACCTCAGCTATTGCTCATGTCTAAATCTGAAGGATTCCACACAACGAACCATTATCTTTTCTGTGACTAAGCTTTAGTATTTAGATATTTGTGGACCCTGAGTTATTAAGATGTCAAATTATACGAATCATTCAAATTCATAAAGACCCAAATTGGTCACTTTCTGGACCAGTTTTTCCCAATTATGCTATATGAAAGTGTTTATATTCAAATGGGAGATCACGCCATTGCACTCCAGCTTGGGCGACAAGAGTGAAACTCCATCTCAAATTTTAAAAAAATTAAAAAATTAAAAAGAAAAGAAAAGAAAACTCAAGTTACTTGGGTTTCTTTATTTTTATTTTTGTAACATTGATTTTATAGCTTAGATTATAATACTTTAAGAAAGGATATAGAATCCAGTGGTTTCCAAACATATCTGCACTCAGCTAGTTTATGTGTGTGTATGTGTGCGTGTGTGTGTTTGTGTATGTGTATGTGTGTGTGCATATGTGTGTGTATGTGCATGTTCATGCAGATGTAGATGACAGCCACTTACCTCCCAAGAATTACTGTGCATTATATTATCTAAAAGTAGCCACATATTTTATGATTGTGATAGAAATTAATACTTGTTGAATGTTTATTTGCCTGATACATGGCAAATGCTTTGCATGCGCTTTTTTCATTTAATCTCCACTATAACCTGTTGAGTGAGATTTTTTTTATAAAAATTATGTGGCTTTGATCTTATGCAATTTCAAGATAAAATTATTGTTACATTTTAAAATTTATAGATGCTGTGGTTGATTTTTTAAATTCTATTTTAAAAAGTAATTATATGTATATACCTATATATAATCTTAATTTAACAAATATTCCACGTTTTTTATGAGCTATGTTACTATTTCATGTGTTAATCTTTAAAGTCACTGAATATTCAATCAGCTTTCAGAAAATTGTAGCCATTATTATAGTTTGCAAAATTTTGCTTGTTACTATGCAAAATAAAATAAATCTATTTGATTTGGGGTTAAAAAATGTATTATGAAATTGAGAACTAGACACCACTAAGAAATAGCTCTAAAACAATATCAAAGTGTATGTGAGATATTATATTCTGTATATGCACATGCTGAAGGATTCAGAAACTTGCCATATACACTTCTATAAATTATACACTCTCCCGGGAATAAAAATTATAGCCTTGAATAAAGTGTCGAGTTTTCAAAATATTACCCTGTTTGTTCCTCCTCGATACCTCTTCTAGTTACCTTATCACCTTCGTCATCTGACTTTTCTTTTTGAGCCTTGAAATGGTTCAGTTGTGAACCCTTTGGTATTCCAATCAAATACACTTTCTTATGTAGCTCTCTACTCACATAGCTTCATTTGTCTCTTCTAGGTAGATGACAGAGTTCCCACACACACAAATAGTATTATCCAACTTTAGACACGTGAGAAGCCTTGTGTTATGTCTTGCATTATGTTATTACATTCTGAGCTATAGCTATCTATTCAATAGCTTCCTTGGTACTTCCCAGAAATCTAATACTCAACACATTACATACTTACAACAAGCAGATTTCCTTCTAAACTATGTCTTCTCCAGTGTCCATCCAATCAAAGAATGTACCACCATCTACTTAGTTATCTAGGCCAAGACACCTTCATCTTTCTCCTGGAGGGACACATTAGATTATTAAATGGTATCCCCACACTCATTTTCTACCTCTAATCTGTCTTTGCACTAGAATCAATCTGATGTCAGTGTCATCATTCTTGTATCATTCATGTGTTTAAAGTCTTTCATGCTATTTTTACAACATTTTCATGTTAATGACCAAAATCTAAGCATAGTCTAAGGTGTCTGAATAATCTGACATCATTTACATTCTAATCCTAATTTAATGCCTCTTTTCTTCTTGTTTTTGTACTTATTTTTCAATCTCTTTACTTAGTTAAAAGCCACCTGGAGGTTCAGCTAAAATGTCACTTCCTCAAGGAAGTCTTCCTACAGGACAGAATTCTCTTAAGACATGTTTATCATATGGGATTCAATAACTAATTGCATAATTGTTAATTTTATAACTGTCATTTTAGGTAGGATATAAAACTTTTGAAGGAATAGATTGTGCTAGTCTTGCTGATGACTATAACTAGCATCTCTTACAACATTGCCTGATACATGTTTGTTGAATGAATGAAATGTAAAAATAAACTGAATTTAAATTCTCCTGCCATTGCAGACTCCTCAGGTCTAACTTAGATGACAGACTTTACCTAAGACATGGACTCCTACCTTCCATATATTGTCTATCATTGTGAATCTGTCCAGCTCAAGATTTTTGAGTCATCTGTGTATTTTTATTCTTTGGCTGTTGTCACAAAATCACCATGTCCTTGTCTACTAATTCCCTTAAAATTATTTTATATTAGTCTTATTATTTTCTTAAAGAATCCAGGTTATCATACCTTATGGTATTCTCCCAATATCTTTATTTTCCAAATTACTATGAACTCTAATTTCAGTTAAATGTCAATAATAAATATCTAAGATCATAGTTACTTTCACTTATCTTTAATAGCTCTTAATTGCTTACACCACTAATTAATATTACTAAAATTAATTGTCAAGATGTATTTCCAGATTAATTTTAAGCCCTAACTCTTGTATAAACCTTCTACTGCAGTATAGATTTTTGTATAAGTATTCAAACATTTCCTGTGTCTTCTCATTAGTTCATATCAAAGTGTTCTCTAGAAAAACAAAAACAAAAACAAAAACAAAAAACTTGCCTTCAGAAAAGTTTCCAATGCAAGTCAGAACATTGTAAAGCCCTGAAATTAGCTCTTATGACAAACTCCTATTTGTTAATACGCTACAAAACATAGTTTGACATGCTTGAAATTAAAAATATTTTGTCTAATTTAAGAACTAAAGCACTAAAGTGCATATTTTGATTTGAATTTTCCTAGTATTTCTCAGTAAATAATTTTGTTTCCAAAAGGAACTCATTTAAATGTATGCATTATATCTATGTATTTATTTTCTGAATGATAAAACAGAAAATATTTGTTGAATTATGTTGTATGTAAGATACAATACAGATATAAAAATAACAGTATAATATGAAAATATTACCTGATGTAATGTTTTTCATTAGTAATAGCCTCTATTATTCATTATTGTATGCTGTTACCATTTGATATGTATTTGGGTGAATTTTTTTCTTTTCATTCTAGTTGTTGAGAAAAATTCTACTTCTTCGTTTTTTTATATGATGAGAAATGAAGCTTAGAAAAGCTAAATTACTTCCTAAAGTCACATAGTCAGTTATGGATGTACTGGTAATTAAACCTAAATGTCTTAACTTTAGAATTTTTTATTTTAAACACTTTACCAAATTTTAAATGACATATTTACAGTTTTTGTCTTTGAGACCTCATTTACAATATGTGAGCACTTTTTAGTTATTTTTAAAAATAATGAAATATATCCAACATATTTTCAAATAATTAACTTTATTTTTAGAGCAGTTTTAGATTTATAGCAAAATTGAGATTTCTCATGTAACACCTGCCCCACATTTGCATAGCTTTTCCTATTATCAACATTCCTCACCTGAGTGGTGCTTTTAATTTTTTTTTAATTTTACAATTGATGAATCTACAATTATATGTCATTAGCATCCGGAATGCATAGTTTACGTTAGGGTTGACATTTGGTGTTCTAAATTCTATAGGTTCAAACAAAGGTATAACATGTATTCATCATTATAGTCATACAGAGTTGTTTCCCTGCCCTAAAAATACTCTGTCCTCCACCTACTCATTCCTTGCTTTTGCCTAAGTCCCCTGATCCTTTTACATTCTGTATAGTTTTGTCTATTCTAGAAGTCACACAGTTGGAATCATAGAGTATGTAGCCTTCTCAGATTGGCTTCTTTGGATAAATACCAAGGTCCTTGGTCGCGGAATCATACAGTAAAAATATATTTAGTTATGTAAACAGTTGCCAGAGAATCTCCAACATGGCTGTACCATTTTGCTATGAATGATAATTCCTTTTACTCCTTGACAAGATTTGGTGTTTTCAGTGTTCTGGATTGTGGTAATTTTCATAAGTGTGTGGTGGTTTCTTGTTTCAATTTGCATTTCCCTGATGACATATGATATGGAGCACCTTTTCATATGCTTATTATCTGATTATCTTTTTGGGAGGTCATTATACTATTTCTAATACTCATATAAATGATGTTTTATTCTCACAATATTACCAATAGTTTAAAATTATCTTCAATGTTGTCCTCTGGCTTCCTATGCTACATTTCAGATTGTATGAAAATCTAAGACTTCAATGTAATTAATTAAATTTTATTATCAACATAAAATAAATAAAGATTCCATCACATCAAAATAAACATTCCATATATTTAAATATATTTTAATTAATACAATATAATTTTAAATTATTTAGCTATTTAGAATATTTATTTTATATTTAAATTTATTTTAATTAATAAAACTTAATTTTAAAATTAGAAACTTAGTTTATTTAAAATTTAATTCAAATTATGCATATATAAGATTATTACAATTTATGAAAACCGTTGTTTATCTTTGTTAATTGTAAAACTTTGTAATTGTATTGAGGAAACAGTGTAGAATTCAGATAGTCCCACTCTGAAACCTAGAACTTAACTCATAATAAGCATTAAATATATGTGTTTAATGAATTAATAATTCAAAACTAGTTACTGTATTTTTATAAGATGTCTTTCATATTTGAGGCATGGTTTCCTATAAAAACTAATGAATGAGTTAATCTGTATAATTTAGGAAAATATATGTTGTTTTGCTATTAATGTTTAATTTGTCACACATAAAAGTGCTCCTTCAGAAATTTATTTTGCACAGTTAGGTTACATTTTGATAAGCAGTTAATTTATTAAAAATTAACCTACTGAGAATCTGTTTCTTAATATTGGAACTATTTGTTCTTCAAAACACGAAAAAAAAGAATAACAAGTATAAATAAATTTTTGGTGTGTACTACATTTTAGCCAATGCACTACGCTTTCATATCACATCCTTTATTTATAACCACATTAAGGATAAGAAAATTGAGACTCAAAAAGGAAAGATAGTTTGACCAATCTAACAATCAGCCCAATTACTGTTAGAGCCTAGAATAGAGTCCAGGCATTATTTCACCAGCAATCCTCTATCCCTTGACTCAGAAAATACCGACTGACTGTTTACTAAAGTTTCAAGCACTCTTTTAAGTCTTAAGGTTAAAAAGGAAGTGTGAAAACAAACTTTATCACTGCGCAATAAGACATATTTTTATCTGATAATAAATATGACACTCCAACGTGACATCCAGGTTATGATGGAGATATGCGTGTGATCATGATAGTGTATACTAGAAGTATTTCATTAATTCAGAAAATTGATGGAAGCTTTTTTCAAGAAAATATGATTGGTGGGGTTCTAAGCTTGAAAGGGTGCTCTCTGGGCAAAGAGGATGAGAAGGGCTGTTACTGCCAATGGAACAGCATGTGTCAATGACACTGTAACTAAAGGAAGCATTGTATTTAGTAGGCACGGCATAAAGAGCAATACAAGTGGGACAGAAAGAGATTGGAAATGACGTGCAATATGAGGCTGGAATGGCAGTTCCATAAGGAGAAGTAATAAAGCCCTGATGTTTCAAGGCAGGTAGGAAAAATAGTAAGGTAGTCACTGCTTAAAATTAATTTTTACTTAGGAGAGGGTTTTCTTACATGTGAATGAATTTTTATTGCAAAAGTTTTGGTCTAGGTATCACACATAGTTACAAAGACCTGCAAGTGGGAAGGATGTAAAGAAATTACATAAGAAAAAAAACATTTTTAAATATTTTTAAAAATTTGGCTATATAGTAAGTTGCCTTGTTAAAAGATTGTTTTTTCATTAATGTTCCTTTAATATGTCAAGTACAAAGTTAGTGTGGATGATGGAATTACTGATTAATTGATAAACAAGAGATTGATTTTAATCTTGACCATGGTACTGTCCATTTCACCATGCAATTCACAGGTGCTTTAAACAATGCCTCTTCACTGAGATTCTGTTAGTTTATTGCTACCATTTATTATTTGCACAAATGACATAACTACTCCAAACTTGTAACTTATAGTTGGCATAATTGCACTTTCTGATTCACCTAATCTAACTTGGCAGCTTTAAGATTTCAGAGGAAATAATTAATTTATTAAAATAACTTTTATTTTCTAAAACACTATATAACCATCAAGGGGTATTATCTCATTTCTTGGCTTGCATTTACTTCACTACCTCAACAATTGTTTTTCTTATTACAGATAAAATTAATAAATACATCATAATAGAGGAAATTAGCAAATACATAATCACTATCCAATGCTATTATTTGAATGATTTTTAAATAGTCCCCAGATATGATTAATAATTTTATTAGTTTCCTAGGACTTCCATAACAAATTAATATAAATTCGGTGGCTTAAAACAAGAGCAATTTAATCTCTCACAGTTCTGGAGGCTAAAAGTCCAAAATCAAGTTGTTCTCAAGGCTACACTCCCTTTAAAGCCTTTGAGGTGGATCCCTCCTTTCCTCTCTCAGCTTCAGGTACCCCAGGAGTGTTCCCTGGCTTGCAGATGTATCATTGCAATCCCTGCCTCTGCCATTATGTGGCAGTCTTTTCCTTGTGTGTCTCTGTCTTCTCTTCTTAAAAGGACAGAAGTTATATTTGATCAGGGCCCACTCTAATGACCTCATCTTAACTTGACCACATCTGCAAAGATCCTGTTTTCAAATAAGGTCACATCTGCAGGTATTAAAGATTAGGACTTTAACATATCTCCTTAGGGACTTCAACCCATTAAAATGTCCAACTGTTGTTAATTTTGATCACAAGATCAATGTCACTTTGAAATGCATTGAGGCACTGTGTCATATAAAGAGTCAACTAATCAATATATATTTGTGAAATATTAACAAATATGTATTATATGTATTTGGGTTAAAAGTCATAGAAGCAAAATTTACTACAGACAGCATTCTAACTTTATATGCACTCAAATATTTCACCTTTTACCTAAGTTCACATGGGTTGCCCAAAGATGTCAGAAATATTAGGTAGTGTAGACACAGATTTCTGTCCATAATTCCATATGGATGATCAGGGTCTCACTATTCTATGTGAGATCAATAGACCAGCAGCATTGTCATCACTTGGGAGCTAGTTAGAACTGAAGAATTTGGGTCTCTGTTCTAGTCCCACTGAATTAGTATTTTCATTTTAATAAGATTCCTGGGAGACACATATTCATATTACAGGTAGAGAAATGTTGCTCCAGAGAATTTTATAATTACTTCAACACTCAATAGGAAATTTGTAAAACTTTCTTGTATTCTGACAATCTCTTTAGCCCTCTGACTGCCTCATGTAAAAGTTAAATATGCTAATCAATTTAAATCTAAAAAATAAGATAATATACTGTTTCATGTAATTGCTTCAACTGACTTAGTCCTTCATATTTAAATCTTCTTTTGAATTTCAATACTTTGGTCAAATTTATCCTAAAGTAATTGGTGCAACTATAGGAAATTTTAAAATATCATACATCCTAATACATTCTTTAAGATACCTGTTTCCTTAGTCATTTACCAGAATTCTGCTGTTCTTATCTGATGTATTAAACTATATTCAACTTTAAGATACTGTTCCCATAATCACCATTAACAATTTCTTTTCTGACTATTATAAAATTCATAATTTCATATGACTCTTTTTAGCTAACATATTTATCTTAGATATTACATTTTGTAAACTCTTTTTGCACCTGATGGAAAGCAAGTATCTCATAATTTACAAAAGGTGTGCATTTTTATATTCACACAATAAAAATTACCTAATTATTTCGATGCATTAAGTAGATTTCAAAAACATCTTTCACATTTACTTAGCCTATTTTATATGATATTTGAAATCTTTTATTCTAAAAGGAACTGTTACCAAATAAATATAATTTTATTAATTTAAATCATACATTTTAATATTGTACTTCAAGTTAAACTTAGAAGAGTTTTATTTTAACTTGCTATTTAAAACATTGCAAATTGAACAGACATACAAATTACATGTCAACATGGAATTTTTTTTAGGCTACTTTCCTACAAATACTAGGGGATGTATGTTTAATTGGATAACCTTTCATCTATTTTAGCTGAGTCAGGGTTTGATCTTGACAATTAAAAAAATTGTATAAGAATTTTAAAAGAATGTACAAAGACATCTAAGAAAACTGATTAAGATTTCATTTTTAGAATGAAGAATAAGAAACCTAGAATAATGAGACATGGTGAGAGATGCAACATTATTTGTGTGTGTGTGTGTGTGTGTGTGTGTGTGTGTGTGTGTGTGTGTGTGTAGGGAGAGTCTATAAAAAGAAGATAGTTTAAATTGCTCCTTTACAATTATTTTAGGATGGTTGATAGCATTTTGTTTTTGTATTCAAATGTATTTTTCTCAAATCCTATGAAAGATCATATGAAAATTGTATTAGTTTTCTGTTACTGTCAAATTACCACAAATTTAGCAACTTAAAACATGTAGTTATTATTGCTTCATTTGTGTAGGTCAGGAGTCTGGGTTTGGATAAGCTATTTCCCCTGCTCAGTGTCTCACCAAGAAGAAATCAAGATTGCTATGGATGCATATGAAAATTATGTGAAAATTCAGTACTCTGCCAATCTCACCAATTGTTTGGAAAAGTCAAACATTTTCTCCAGTTGACAGGCATCAAAACAGTGACCAAAGCCCTCAATGTCTTGCTAGCTGTCAACTAGACATAATTTTTCAACTCCTAGAGGATACCTACCATTCCCTGCCATCTGGCCCTGAGCAAACATGGCAGTTTACTCCTTTAAAGTCAACAGGATGGTATTTGTTGCAGCTTTGAATTGCTCTGATTTCTATCTGTAACATCTGCATCCCGTTCTGTATGGGGTCTTCAAGATAGCCTATCCAAACTCATGAGGCCATTATGTAGCATGCATAGCAAGGGATAGGAGTTTGGGAGGCTATTTTAAAATCCTGTCTATCACAAAGGTCACTGTCAGTTTCTGCTTTAAGGTTCAGGTGCAGGTTCATTATGAAGATAGCAATCATCTACTATAGCTGCTACTTATATAGTACTGAGCATATTTCATACTTGGCATAGTATGACTCAGTTTTCATTGTTCAAAGATACAATTGAGTATTGAACAATGAGGTTATGTGTAATCAGAATTCATTTGTCACTTCAGGAGATATCAGACACATGGTGCCATGTTTATGTGCTTCATTTCTCATTTTAAAGTGTCTTGATGAAAAGTAGGTCACTTGAACAGTTTTTTATTTGAAATAAGTGAACACACTTTATAAAATGTGGATGCTTGATTTGCTTTTGTTGGGTGCAGCTATACTGTGGAATTTCAAGTCATTTTACAAGCACACTAATTTTATATTCTGCAGAAGTCTTTTCACTTTATCAGAAGCTATCTAGGTTCAAGTATCATGCAGAATCAAATACCCCATGCCTTTGTAGACATTTTCATCAATTATAAATCTGCAATGAGTCATTGAGACACAGAACGAAACTTAAATGTAATTTCGACTTTAAAATATAATAACTCAACCTTCTTAAAGATGTTTAGAAACATTTTGGTGGAGATAATTGCATTCTTCAATTGCCCAGTCATTTTACATTTGAATAAGGAACATGGAATCTTTGGAATCCATTTTATTCTTCAAAAGCATAAACATTAATGAAGCTGCACTTAAGAGTAGATATAGGCTAAACCCAACAGATTTATACATATCCGTAGGTAAAAGAATTTAAATCACAAGATTCTAGAAATTGCCAGCTAATCTTATACATTTTGAACGTGATAGAATTTGAAGAGAGTTCACTTTTCCATTTCACATCTTTCCACTTACATTTATCTATGTGTAGATAGAATCATCTTGCCAGATATGTGATGTGAGTTTATGTGAAATAAATGAATTCAAGTAGTGTGAAAGACGAGGCAACATTCAGAGAGAAAGATTCTTACAAAATGGGTTTCAGAACACTCAAACTAAGTCTTTTCCCAGAAATAACTTTGGTTGAGCATTCAGAAACACTGTTTTATATCTTCTATTGGTTTGCTCTTTTGATTTAAATGCTGTTAATTTTAGTTTTAAAAATATTTTATTTTCAATATAAAAATGTTTTCCCAAGGAAATAAACATTTTAATGGCTGAAATTTTATGAAATTGTATTATCATTATTAATGATCAAGTCATCAAAGCTGTGTTATTACTTACAGAAAAGTAAGCCAAGCCAACTCGAAATCAAAGGTTTTTAAAAAGTACCTCTTTTCAGCCAGACGCGGTGGCTGATGCTTGTAATCCTAACACTTTGTGAGGCCAAGGCAAGAGGATTGCTTATGCTCAAGAGTTCAAGCATGGACAACATAGTGAGACCTTGTCTCTACAAAAAATTAAAAAAAAAAATCAGCCAGGCGTCATGGTGTGCACCTGTAGTCCTAGCTACTCAGGAGGCTGAGGTGGGAGAATCTCTTGAGACCTGGAGGTCTGGGCTACAGCCAGTGATGATTGCAGCACTGTACTTCAGCCTGGGTGACAAAGCAAGATGCTGTCTCAAAGAAAAAATTACATGTAAAATGATGTATTCTGATATTTTATTACCTCCTTTAATTTTTTCCATTTAATATTTTATTTAAATTCATTTGTTCTAGCCTGTCATTTTCTACAGAACACTTTCCCATTAAAAATTGTCCCCAAAAGTATTCTGTGGTTAAATAAATCCAGCTAAACTACATATTTTGCCTATTTTGTGGAGACTCATAAAACAAATTAGCTTACTAAAATCAATGGAAAGTTATGCAGATATTGTTTAATTTTATTTACCTGACCTTTTCAAAACCTAGCCAATTATGAAAGCAGTCAATAATAATTGAAACATTAGTTTAAAACAATATATTAAGATTATTCGTCTTTCACATTTGGCTTTTTCATATCAGTTTTCCATTGTATGATTACCATATATAAGCCCATATATAGTATGTATAGACATATATGTGTATACCCATGTATATACTTCTGTCTATATTTTCCTAGCTATTCTTATATGCTAAAATTAAAATGAATTCAAACTAATATCTCTAATTAAATTCATCAGCACAAGGTTTGTATTTCCCTCCTCACTTGATTATTTGTAAAGTCTTTCTCTGGCCATTAAAAACGTGGTTCCTATTTTCTACAGTGTAGTTACTTAATTGTCTAATTCTGTGTGTGTGTTAAATTTAGTTTTAAAAATATTTTATTTTCAATATAAAAATGTTTTACAAGGAAATAAACATTTTAATGGCTGAAATTTTATGAAATCATATTATCATTACTAATGATAAATTCATCAAAGCTGTGTTATTATTTATAAAAAAGTAAGCCAGGCCTGTGTCTATGTCTGTGTGTGTGCACGCGCACGCACACGCATTTGTGCTTATTTATTTTTTGGATCACATTTCTTTGAATTTTTTTTTCATGATCTTCTGGTTGATGGGATTTCTGCTGAGAAATCTGTGATTTATGTCTTTAAGTTTTATTGAGATATAACTCATATACAATTCACCCATTTAAAATGTACAAGCCAAAGTTTTTAGTAAGTTCACGTGTGTGCAATCATCACTGAAAGCAAATCTAAAATTATTTTTCCTCCTCCCCAAAATATTCAGCCCATTTGCAGCCACTTCACATCCCTTTGAACCTCACCCTACCCCTACCTGTAAGAAACCACCAGTCTACTTTCTGTCTTATAGATTTGCCTATTGTAAACATTTTATAAAAATAGAATCCTATGATATAGTCATTTGTAATTATTCATTTTTTATTAACAAATAAGATTCCATTATATGGTTAGTCAACACTTTATTTATCCATTCATCAGTTGAAAGGCACATGGATTGTTTCCATTCTTTGGTTATCATGAATAATGCTGCTTTGAACATTTGTATACAGCTTTTGTGTGGGAGTGTGTTTTCACTTCTCTTTAATATATAAGTAGAAGTGAAATTCATGGGTCATATGTTGAAAATTTTGAGAAAGTGAAAAATTTGTTTCTTAAAGAACCTGTAATCTTTTACATTCCCACCAATAAGGCATGAATATTCTAATTTCTCTACATGGAGCACACAAGTTATTATGTGCTTTTGAATACAACCATGCTAGTGGATATGAAGCTATTTTTCAGCATTGTCTTGAGTTTCATTTCCCTATTCATTAATCTTTGCTCTGCTTTTGGCCATTGTATATGGTCTTTGTTGAAATGTCTATTCAAACCTCTTTCCCATTTTTAATTGGATTATATGTCTTTTTATTATTGAGTTCTGATAATTCTTTGTAAATTCTGGGTAGAAGTCCCTTATCAGATTTAAGGCATTCAAATTTTTTTCCATTCTGTATTTTTCCTTTTGACTTAGTTAATGTTAATATTTGTAGCATAAGGGTTTTTAATTTTCATGAAATAGAGTTTATATATGTTTATGTATATTTTATTCCATTGATTGTAATTTTGGTTTTATATTTAAGAAATCATTGGCTAATCCAAGGCCATGAAGACATACACCTATTTTTTCCTGTAAGAGTTTTGTGGTTTTAACTCATACATATTTAGGTATATAATCCATTTGAGCTAACTTTTATGTATGGTTTGATAGGGGTCCAATGTCATTTTATTGCATGTGCATATCCGGTTGTACTAGCACTATTTGTTGAAAAGCTATTTTTGACACCCTTGTCAACAATTAATTTACCATAAATACTAAGGCTTATTTATAAATTTATAATTCCATTCCATTAATCTGTGTGTCTATACTCATGACAGTACATCACTTTGTTTAGTACTGTAACATTGTAGTAAGTCTTACAGTTAGGAAGTATGAGTTCTCCAACTTTGGTTTTGTTTTTCAAAAATGTATGCACATAAGATTATATGAAGAAATAATCATAACAAACTTATAAAAGTTTATGCTACATATATATCTCACTAGCATCAAAAGAGAGAGGAATGGAGTAGAGTTATCCAGGAGTAAAGATTTTAATTTCAGTGGACTTCAATCACTGTAAATCTGAGGTAGATCCTGATGGGATGCATGTTGCAAAATCTAGAGCAACCACTAGGAAAATAACCAGTATATAAATAAAAGTTATTAAATGGAATAAAATTTAACTTTAGAAAATATCCTCTTAACAATAAAATAGGAAATAAACAAAAGACAGAAAAAGGAAAAATTCAAAAAGAATAAAAGAAGCAAAATGGCAGATGTAAATTCAACCACAAAAATAATAATATTACAAATGAATATATTAAACAATCCAATCAAAAGTGAGTTGATTCAATTACTTGTGGTTTACAGGGGACACATTCTAGACTCAGAGATGCACAAGTTTAAAGTTAAAGGAATGAAAAATATAAACCAAAACAAAAAATTATAAAGGAGCTAAAGTGGCTATATGAATATCAAAGTAGACTATAAAATAAAGAAACAATTATTCAATAATAGTAGTTGAAAATCTTCATACCCTACTTTTATTAATGGGTAGAATTATGCTGAAGATTGACAAGAAAATGAAGACTGGAGCAACATTATAAACAAACTAGACCAAACAGACATTTGTAGAACATTTTATCCAACAGCAGATTATACTTTCATCTCAACATGTAATGTATGTAGACTATTCTCCAGAACAGACTATGTGTTAGACCATAAAACAAGCCTTAAAAATTAAAATGGATTCTAATGATGTAACATACATTCTTGTCAAATATGAAAATCATGAAGAAACTAGAAAATATAGATTTATGCAATTACCTAAATTAGCTGAGAAAAGGAGGGAAAAATATATGTGCCACTACACTCTATTTTGTAATTCTATAAATAATTAACTTTTCCATGACTCTTTGCTTCTTATTTGGATTTGAGTGACTGCTCAGAATCACTTAATCACTTAATTTCAGTCTGAAGAATTTCCTCCAACATATTTTATAAGGCAGGTCAGCTGCCAGCCAGTTATTTCATTTTTGTTTACATAAGGATGTCTTTATTTTGCCTTCATCTTTTGAAAGAGCTTTGCTAGATACTAAGTTTTTGATCACATATTTCTTTTTTCAGCACTTTGAATATGTCATCCTTCTGGCTCAAATGTATGCAATTAGAATTTAGCTATTTATTCTTTCCCTTTTTTTTTTTGAGACAAGGTTTTTCTCTTTCACCCAGGCTGGAGTTCAGTGGTATGATCATGGCTTACTGCAGCCTTGACCTCCTGGGCTCAATCAATTGTCCCACTCCAGCCTCCTGAGTAGCTACAGGTGTATGACACCACACCCAGCTAATATTTTGTAGTGACAAGTTTTCACCATGTTACCCTGGCTGGTCTTTAACTCTTGAGCTCAAGCAATCCACCCACCTTGTCCTCCCAAAGCATTGGGGTTACAGGCATGAGCGACCATGCCCCACCTAGCTTTTTTTTTTTTTAACAATATGACTTTAGTGTATCTGAGTGTGGGTCTGTGCATTTATTCTACCTAGTGTTCATTGTGCTTCTTGGATGTGTTAAGATTTTTTCCCAAATTTGGCAAGTTTTCAGTCTTTATTTCTTCGAATATTTTTCTGTCCCTCCCTGTACTCCTCTAGTTATACTCATATCATGTTGCAACACTTACTGGTATACCGCATTTCTCTGAAGCTCTGTTTATTTCTATTTATTCTCTAATCTAAGAGATTGTATAGTCTCTTAGCCTCAACTTTACTGATTATTTCTTCAGCCACCTCAAACCTACTGATAACAACATCTAGTGAATTTTTCATTTAGTTGCTGTATATTTTTAACTCCAAAATTTTCATTTGGCTCTTTTTTATAATTTTCCTCTCTTTATTGATAGCATATATTTTGTAAGACATTACTATCAAGTCTTCCTTTACTTCTCTAAGCATCATTGACTTTAATTATTTGAACATATCTATAATATCTGCTTTGAAGTTTTTTCTGCTGAACCTAATGTTTGAATTTCTTCAAAGGCCATACCTATTGCCTGCATTTTTTCCCCGTGCACTCGTCACACTTTTGTTGCTGTTATTATCATTGAAAATAGAAAATATTAGGTCTTACATTGAGTCATTATTGAGACTGATCCCACCTCTACTCACTGATCCAGAGGGTTACTGTTACCTGCTTGACTATTTGTTTACTTTCTTAGTGACCTGGTGGTACTAATTCCATAAAGTCTGTTTACCCTGTGTTGTGTAGCTCCTGACATCCTTCCTTGTATTTGTTACCCTTTTTACGGTCTTTTAGCCAATCTTTGACTAATAAATGCTTGCATCATTCCAAGGGCTATTGTCTAGAAGTAGTCCCTGGATTGATATAAACATTTATGGGTCAAATATTGTGCCCAAATCCCCTTTGCCAGTTGGATTTCTGCCTTTAAGCCTTGAATGTGAGAGTGATTTGAGGAGAAAAGGCTGTTTTTACAGCTCTGAGAGATAATTTTTTTTTCTTTTTTCTTTTTTTTTGCTGTATGGTCAACCCAGAACTAAAAGCTTATAGATTCCCTTGTGAAAATTTCTGAGACATTGAAGTTTTGCTCATGCACAAATTTTTCAAGGCAGCCAATAATTACTGCTTTTATTTTATTTTTAAGCCTATATTCCTGGTAGTCACTCCTCCATCAGAATGGCTTATTGTTCAATCAGTTTGTGGTCAGAAGTAGGGTTAAAACTTCACGGACCAGTGAGGCTTTTGCTCTCTATTGATGATTTTTTTGTATGGCTTGCATAATCCTCTCAAGTACACTCCATGCATTCTGTTCTGATTGCCCTTGAGTAGGTGCAGCTTAGTGCCTGTGCACAGCCTTCTCAAACACTGAAGTTGAATGGGATTGCAGGAGACCTATTCTTAGCTGTCTCCCTCATTTTTTCTATTAAACAGGCTGTTCTGCCATATTTGCTTTTATTCTGGAGCTGACATTTCTTCTTAATTGTTCCCCACCAAGACTTTTACAAATTCTTCTATTTAGAACAGAATTTGAAGAGCTCCATGTGTAAGATTGAAAATAACAATCTTGCACATGGAGCTCTTCAAATTCTGTTCTAAATAGAAGCAGCCCTCTCAGGCTAAGCTGCAGTTTTGTCCATTTTTCTGGTCTGCCTCTCTCCCTGTCTAAACTCCTGTGCCATTGCACAAAAGCTAGAGGCCAGACTCATTTTTCTGGAATTACTCCCCACTAACTAGGTAAAGGTGGCAGTCCCTGCAGTTCTGACTTTCCCCAACCATCGTGAAACCTCCATCTGAAGAGCAAGGTGGGGCAGGGGAAATAGGAGCCACAATATTCTCAGCATGCTGTGACTGATGTAGAATCTCACCTTACGTGGACAAGCTGGGTGGGAGAAGTGAGACCCAGTCCTTTCTACCAGGATTGCTGAGAATTAAGCTTTTGCAACTGAGTCTAGAGGTGGAATGAAAAATACTGGCACTCTATCCTACCCAGGGTGAAATCAGATATAGATTGAGAGATGGGGGTCAAGGGAGCCTCTGTCTTCTTGACCACACGTTCCTGTAATAGAATACACAGGGTAGAACTTCCAAAACAGATCTAAAAGAGAGGGATAAAGGAAGCAGATTGTGACTGAAATGCCAAGGATTCTCAATGAAATTCAGCAGGCTTTTGAGCAAACATTTTTCCATATGCTATATGGTCTTAGAAAATTTTCCAGACATTTTACATAATTTTAGAAAATAGTTTCACTAATACTTACATTGTAGTATTATTGAGAATAGGATCAATAATTGTTCTTGTAATTGTTCTTATCTTTCTTCCTCTGAATGTAATATGTATTTTGAAGGCTTTAAATTGGCTTTTTATCTGGCTTATAACAACTTCATTATGACATGCTTTAACGTGATTTTATTTGTGTTTATCTTCCTTAAGCTTTATTGACCTTCTTGGAACCATTGTGTTATGCTTTCTATTAAATGTGGTAATTTCTCAGCTGTCATTTATTTAAATATTTTTTTCTGTCTTCCACACATGCCTGCCTAGACAATAGAATTAGACATAGGTTAGACTGATATTATCCACATCAACTTAATTGTTTTCAATGTACGTTTTTTAGCTTTCTAAAGTAAAGTCTAGAGTAGCCTTTACTCTAGGGCTAAGTAGCTCCACTACAAATATGTGGCTCTTCTGAGGTCCCTAGGACAATCCGCATATATTCAATGATGTCACTTTACTGGCTAGTGGATACTCAAAAGATTTGCAGCACTTTGTGAGAAAATAAAATTATTTAGCTTATACATTCATGGTGAATTTTCTTTATCAATTGTTCCTTGCCCAGACTCATGGAGTTTTGTGTGCAGATTGTTACTCAACCATAGACTCATGGCTGTGTGTCTGAAGCTCTTTGTGGAACTCTGTCTCTTTATAGCTTCCTCTTCTTCATTTCTCCGTCTTGCAAATTCTAGGAACCTTAGTGTCCCTCAACTCTGATCTCTGCCTCCTAAGTGTGGCAAAACCTTTGATTCAGTTAGTGTTTTCTTTCTGAATTGTAGTTGCTAAATTGCCTCCTGACAGAAAACTAGGATTATATAGAACACTTTCTGTTTATTTCCCTTTTTACATGCATGACAGTCCTCTGCTGCTTGTTGTCCAATGTCTGTAAATTGTTGCTTTGTTTATTTTTCAAATTTTTTTTTCTGTTTGTTTTGGGTGGACAAGTTTTATAACAGTTAAAACTTCATGGGTAAAAGCAGGTCTTTAGGTAGAAAAACAATTTTTGAGTTTTCGGTAAACTTTTAGTTTATTTTTAAACTTGGACACTTCTTTCTAAGTTCCTTTGCTTTAATTTCTTTTACATTGGGGAGTCATTAATTTTCCACATTTCACATAAAGTGTTGGTTTTTTAAAATTGTTTACTTGTTTGAGCCATTATTTGTGTATATTGAAATTGATACCAGAATAACCTAATGCATTGCATAATATTTACTACCCAAGCCAGTATAATATTTTGATGCTTTAGAGGTGGCAGAAAAATAGAAGACCATGTGTTTGCTGTCTGTGTTTAAATATGAGCTTTAGGAATTCTTACAGCAATACTCGATGTTAACTACTCATCTCTCTTGGATAAGCAGATACAAATGGAAGTACTTCTTACTTGAGATGTATGAGAGATTTACTGAGGTAGCTTTCCATACCAGAATTATTCATGGGGTAACAGTGGGAAGTGAATTTTACATTAGGAAGCTAAGTACTGCCTAGAAAATTTAAAAACACATATTTTAAAGTGAAGATATTCTCTGAAAAAGTGAATATAAAAATTAAATAATAGGATTCCATATTTATTCCTTCTCAATGGCTTTTAAATAAAATTTTATGGTATATTAAGACAGAGGTAATTTTCTAACTGCTGGTATGGTAAGACTAACCTGTTATATTTCTGACACATTTACTATTGGCAGAAATAAAACTCTGTAATCACTATTTAAATGACAATTTTTAGAGAATGTTGAAAGATAGGTAATGCATTGACTTTTAATCTTATAACTAAATTTATAAACTTGCCTCTGTAGGTAATTATTTTTCTTTTAAAAGAAAATAAAAGTGATGGTGGTTTAAGTATTTCAAGTTGTATATGTCTCTTAAATAATTGATTTATATTGAGTTGAGTATATGGAAAATAATTTTTTATAATTAAATCATAATATTCAGTTTGATTTGAATATATTAGTGCTAATGTCTTATACAACACTACCTTTTTTTTGGTGGTACTAAACTTCTTGAAATATCACTTTAAAAGAAAGATTACAACACTTTTTATTGCATTTACTTTCTGAATATTATTCTAGTGTGTTTCTTAATGCATTGCTGGATAACATTTTAGCTTAAAAACAAACTTTTTAGGCTGTAAATGCTCACCAGTATGAGGCAAATATTTCTCCATTGGCAACTTTGAATTTCTAGGTAACTGTTTTATACTTCTCATGATAATTTTAAATTGGTGATGATGATTCAATAACTGTTGTTCTTCTTTATGTAAAATTATTCCAAAAGCAGATGAAACTAAGTTTCTTTTTCAGCTTTTATCCTAATTGGCTCTGATAATTCTAGGAAAAAAATTCAAATTGGGGTATATATGTAATTTAATACTTAATTAATAATAATGGTCTGAAAAATAGCTACATCAACAGAAATGAACTATCTGATATTTATTTGAAATGTCCAAAGTCAAAATCAATTACCTTTCCTCTGCCTGTAATGAAAATCTCCAGTTCAGTTCCTCTGCCAAAGAAATTTGACATGACTACCTAACTTGCTATGCATTGATTGATAATAGGCTATGTTCTGCTAATGTACTAACGGCTGTTCTGTTTAGATAATTCCTTAAGGCACTACACTGTAGACACTCTCATAAGTAGTAATCAATTGTTGTTTATTGAGAAAATGAGCCTCACGTCTAAGAACATCTTAAAATAAACTTTAGCCAAAATAATTAAAATGTTTTGATTAAAAAAGTGTAAAGCCACATTTTAAATTGTGGACTTTAAAGAAAATATACACTTAATACCAATTTTAAAATGGTGGGTGGGATGTTTGTGAGTTGGAGAAAATTACAATGTATTTAAAATCTAAGCATAAATTGGCAGTGTTTTATTTGGAAATGTTACCTTTACCTTGATATTAGCCACCATAAAATAAATTGCACATTAGATTTGATCATTCCTGCAGGACTGAACCTAACTATATTTTAAATAAATCTGAAGGCTAACCATTCTCTCTCTAAAATTAAATATCTTATTGATTATGACTTTGAATTTATTAAAATCTTATGTTCACCTCTTTTTAACTTGAGTATAGGCTTAATTATATACAGTCATGAAGACAAGTGTCATAATTAAAATTACAATGTGATAGGTATAGTCATTATCACAGAACAGACTCTAAAAGACATGTAGGCTCTGGCAATAGATGCTATACATGTGTGTTTTCAATACTCAAATATATGCTATTGGTGATTTATAGGAAAATCTAATAAGTAGCCAACTGAAATTAAATATTGCATGTTATTGTGCCATCAAATTTCATAGTAGCACTCTAGCAGTAATCAAAAGTGGAATGACAGCTGGATTTAAGCAGGCTATTGTCAGAGTATATTCAGCAGTGAGACAAATAAGAAAGTTGTGACTGCTGGCTATAAAATGCTTAAATAGATGTGCCTCAGATAGATGCTATGAGAGGTAGAGAATGAAGGAAGGAAAGGAAATAAACACACAAAGGAAATGGGTGGATTCTTTGAGTGTTGTTATATACTTGATAAATGGATGTGCGAGAGTTTTAGAATTCAGGGAGATGGTAAGAAAGAAAAATGGTGACTGTAAATGAAGTTGAAAGAATCTGATGATGACAAACCTCAGTTGTGCTTATGAGATTGTGCCCCAGAAGTGGGTGAAAGTGGAAGATATCAAAGCTGATGTAAATAAAAGCTGTCAGCTAAGTTTCAATGCTCTGAATGTGGGTGAATAAGTATTCCACTGAAGCAATAATGAGGACCCATAAATATCAGAATAATTGGTCAAACAATGTAATCATAAATGTAGAAGGCATTTGGCTTATAAATATCATATAAATAGTTCAAATGACAGTAAGCAGGATGTCTTTATACTGTAAATGACTGTACCCAAATGTCATTATAATTTGTATAGATTTAAAAATAAACTTCTATTTTATGAGGAAAAGAAAAAATATCTTCCATTTAAGTCAAGCATGAAGTACAGGCATTTTGTGGAAATGTTGAAGTTTTAGTAGGTAGGGAGATTTTCTGCCCCATAAAATATTGGTTCTTGATACATAGTAAAACTGCTTAAAGGGAAATGAGCAGTGAGAAGAGGCCTCTGTTTAGAAGCATTGATTAATAAGACTGTAAGCTCCAACAAGCCAGGTGCAGTGAATCACACTTGTAATCTCAGTGACTCTGAAGGCAGAGGCAGGAGGATGACTTGAGGCCAGGAGTTTGAGATGAGCCTGATCAACATAGAAAGACTCCAATCTCTAAAAAACATAATAAAATAAAAAAGATTCAGCAAAACTATGAGCCTATACAAGCCTAGGGAGTTTCATCTTAATAGCATTCTGGAATGAAAGGAATCAATGTTCATTACCTCTTTCCAAGGACCCTATATGGACAAGACTAATTCATGTCTCCAGAAAAAAAGCATAATTTTATTGTGTGTTTTTATAAAACTAACCTACATATTTTAGTTATTAATATAAAATGTACAACATATAAATTATTATATTTTCTCTATGGCTATGGTTTGAAGCATTTCTGATTTGAAGAATACATATGTTGTATGTAAAAAATTCTTCAACTCATACATATAGAAAAAATTTGCAAAATGATATAAATAGATATATTTGGTTGATTACTCTTTTCACTATTGAGTAACTGTATTTGCTTTTTATTTCTTGTTTCCTTCATTTATTTTTTAGGTTAAAAACTATTATGGAAGGTATCCCCAGGATCACCCTCACGTTTGGTGATTTGATAATATAACCCACAAGAAATGGTCGTCATTGTATTCACAGTTACAATTTATTACAGTGAAAGAATACAAAACAGAAGCAGCAAAGGAATAAATGGGGCATAACTAGAGCACATTAGGCACAAGTTTCCAGGAGTGCCCTCCCAGTAGAATTGCAAAGCACACACTTAATTCATCCATCAGTAAGTTTTGACAACATGTGCAAAGTGTTTTTTGACAGGGAAACTCACCTAGCCTAGAAATACAGGATTTTTATTACGGATTGGTTCTGTAGGGATGTAAAGTCTATGTGACTGACTATGGTTATCGAAGTTCCAGACCCCAAAAGGAAAGCAAGTGTTTATCATAAATCACATTGGAATGCAAGTATCTCTTCAATATACTGATATAGTTTCCTTGGATAAATGCCTAGTAGTGGAATTACTGGATTGTATGGTAGTTCTATATTTAATTTTTTGAGGAACCTCCATATGGTTTTTCCATAATGGCTATACTAAACGTGGATTGCAGGCGCCTCCTTGACATACCTGTGTTAAATCCTTGGCATATATATACAGCAGTGGGATTTGTGGATCATATGATAGTTACATACTTAATTTTTTGAGGAACCTCCATACTGTTTTCCATAATGGCTCTACTAGTTTACATTCCCAAGAGCTTTCCTTTCTCCACATTCTTGCCAATATTTGTTATTTTTTTGTCTTTTTGGTAATAGTTATTCTAACTAAGGTGAAATAATGTCTCATTTGATGTGTGCTTTCCTGATGTTTGTGATGATGAGCATGTTTTTAACCCATTTATGCCTGAGGTTGCAATTGTTTGAATTTTTGCAATCAGACCTTGGTGATGACCTTAAGCAGTGGGATATAAATAACTCCCACACACTTAGCATTCCAATAATGGCACACTAGTCATAAATGTGACACTTATTGGCTAATTGCATATCTTCTGTTGAAAAATATCTATTCAGATCTTTCACCCAGTTTTCAACAGGATTATTAGGATTTTTTTGCTATTGAGTTATGGTCCTTATACATTCTAAACATGAATCATTTGTCAGATACATAGTTTGCAAACATTTTCTCCCATTCTTTAAATTATCTTTTCATTCTGATGATTGTTTCCTTTGCTGGGCAGAGGCTTTGTGGATTGACAAAATCCCATTTGCCTATTTTTGCTTTTGTTGCCTATTCTTTTGAGGTCTTGACAAAAAAATCCTTCCCCAGAACAATATCATGAAGTGTTTTCCTATGTTATTTTTTTCTAGTAGTTTCAGAGTTTTGGGTGTTAGATTTAACTCTTATTCATTTCGAATTGATTTTTGTATATGGTAAGAGACAGGGGTCTAGTTTTATTCTTTTGCCTGTGGCCATCACATTTTCCAAGCACAATTTATTAAAGAGACTGCCCTTACCCCAGTGTGTGTTCTTGGTGCCTTTGGCAAAAATCAGTTGGCTGTAAATGCAAGAATTTATATCTGGGTTCCCTATTCTGTTTCTCTGGTGTCTGTTTTTATGCCAGTAACTTGCTGTCTTGTTTATTATGACTATATAGTGTTTCTTGAAGTCAGGTAGTTTGCTGTCTCTTTGTTCTTTTTGCTCAAGGCTGCTTTGGCTATCTGGGGTCTTCCATGGTTCCATACATATTTTAGGATTATTTTTCCATTTTTATGAATAATGTCTTGGTATTTTGTTAGGGATAGCATTGAATTTGTATATTTCTTTTGGTAGTATGAACATTTTAACAATATTAATTCTTCCACTTCATAGGATGAAGATAGGATGACTTTCCATTTGTTTGTATTCTCTTCCATATTTTCATATATGTTTTGGATTTTGTAATAGTAGAGATCTTTTATAATTTTTATAGACAACTTTTATAAATTTTATCCTTTTTTATTTTTTAACTTTAAGTTCAGGGGTACAAGTGCAGGTTTGCAACATAGGTAAAATTGTGTCATGGGGGCTTGTTGTACAGATTATCTTACTAACCAGGTATTAACTTTGTACCCATTAGTTGTTTTTCCTGAACCTCTCCCTACTCCTACCCTCCACTCTTCAGAAGGCCCCAGCGTGTGTTGTTCCCCTCTCAGTGTCCATGTGTCTCATCATGTAGCTCCCACTTGTATATGGTATTTGGTTTTCTGTTCCTGTGTTAGTTTGCTAAGGATAATGGCCTCCAGATCCATCCATGTTCCTGCAAAGGACACGATGTCATTCATTTTTATGTATGCGTATTATTCCATGGTGTATTTGTACCACATCTTTATCCAGTCAATCATTGATGGACATTTAGGTTGCTTTCATGTCTTTGCTATTGTGAATAGTTCTGCAGTGATCATATGCATGCATGTATCCATGTGTCTTTTTTTTTTTTTTTTTGAGATGGAGTCTCACTCTTTCACCCAGGCTGTACTACAGTGGCATGATCTCAACTCACTGCAAACTCTGCCTCCCAGGTTCAAGTGATTCTCCTGCCTTAGCCTCCAAAGTAGCTGGGATTGCAGACACACACCACCACAGTATGTGTCTTTATAATAGGATAATTTATATTCCTTTGGGTATATATGTGGTAATGGGATTGCTGTGTTGAATGATATTTCAGTCTTTAGATCTTTGAGGAATTGCCACACTGTCTTCTACAATGGCTGAACTAATTTACACTCCCACCAACAATGTATAAGTGTATTCCTTGTGTATTCCTTTTTCTCCACAATCTCACTAGCATCTGTTATTTTTTTATTTTTAATGACCATTCTGACTGGCGTTAGATGGCATCACATTGTGGCTTTCATTTGTGTTTCTCTAATAAACAGTAATGTTGAGCTTTTCTAAATATAATTATTAGCTGCTTGTAAATCTCCTTTTGAAGAGTCTGTTTATGTACTTTGCCCACTTTTTTATGGATTTTTTTTTGTAAAAATTTATTTAAGTTACTTATAGATTATGGACATTAGACCTTTGATGCATAATTTGCAAAAATTTTCTTCTGTTCTTCAGGTTGTCTGTTTATTCTGTTGACAGTTTCTTTTGCTGTGCAGAAACTCTTTAATTAGATATCATTTGTCAATTTTTCTTTTGTTAACAATTGCTTTTGGCAACTTTATAATGAAATCTTTGCCCATGCTTATGTCCTGAATGGGTTTTACATTTAAGTCTTTTATCCACCTTGAGTTAATGTTTATATACAGTGTAAGAAAGGGGTCCATTTTCATTGCTCTGCATATGGCTAGCCAATCATCCCAGCACCTGAAAGAGATGGGAAGAATGGAACCAAGTTGGAAAACATATTTAAGGCTATCATCCATGAGAACTTTCCCAACCTAGCTAGAAAGGCCAACATTCAAATTCAGAAAACGCAGAGAACCCCAGTAAGATACTCCAGGAGAAGATCATTTCAAAGACACATAATCATCAGATTCTCCAAGATTGAAATGAAAGAAAAAAATGTTAAGGTCAGCTAGAGAGAAAGACCAGGTTACCTCCAAAGGGAAGCCCATCAGACTAACAGCGGACATCTCAGTGGAAATCCTACAAGCTAGAAGAGATTGGGGGCCAATATTCAATGTTTTTAAAGGAAAAAAATTCCAATCCAGAACTTCATATTCAGCCAAACTAAACTTCATATGCAAAGGAAAAATAAGATCCTTTTCAAACAAGCAAATGCTGAGGGAATTTGTTACCACCAGACCTGCCTTGTAAGAGCTCCTAAAGGAAGCACTAAATACAGAAAGGAAAGCCCATTGGCAGCCACTACAAAAACACTGAAGTTTAGAGATCAGTGACACTATAAAGCAATCATGAAAACAAGTCTGCAAGATAACAACCTAACATCATGATGAATGGATCAAATCCACACATAACAATACTAACCTGGATGGGCTAAATGCCACAGTTAAAAGACACAGAGTGGCAATCTGGATAAAGAACCAAGACCCATTAGTATGCTGTCTTCAAGAGACCCATCTCTCATGCAATGACACAAAAAGTCTCAAAATAAAGAGATGGAGGAAAATCTACCAAGCAAATAGAAAACAGAAAAAAGCAGAGGTTGCAATCCTAGTGTCTGACAAAACAGACTTTAAACCATCAAAGATCAAAAAAGCCAAAAAGGCCTACATAATGGTAAAGGTTTAGATTCACCAAGAAGATTTACTATCCTAAATATATTTGCACCTAATACAAGAGCACCCAGATTCATAAAGCAAGTTCTTAAAGACCTTCAAAGATACATAGACTACCACACAATTATAGTGGGGAAATTTAACACCCCACTGACAGTATTAGATCACTGAGACAGAAAATTAACAAAGATATTCAGGACCTGAACTCAGTGCTGGATCAAATGCACCTGATAGACACATAGAGAACTCTCCACCCCAAAGAACAGAATATACAATCTTCTCATTGGCATATGGAACTTACTCTAAAATTGATAACATAATCGGAAGTAAAACACTCCTCAGCAAATGCAAAAGAACTAAAATAATAACAAACAGTCTCTCAGACCACAAAAGAATCATATTAAAACTCAAGTCTAAGAAATTTACTCAAAACTATACAATTACATGGAAGTTGAATAACCTGCTCTAGAATGACTTTTGAGTAAATAATGAAATGCAGGCAGAAATCAAGAATTTCTTTGAAACTAATGAGAAGAAAGGCACAATATACCAAAATCTCTGGGACACAGTTAAGATATTGTTAAGAGGGAAATTTATAGCACTAAAAAACCACATCAAAAAGTTAGAAAGATATCAAGTCAGCAACCCAACATTGCAACTAAAAGAACTAGAGAACCAATACTAAACAAATCCCAAAGCTAGCAAAAGACAAGAAATAACCAAAATCAGATCTGAACTGAAGGAGACAGGGACACTAAAAACCATTGAAAAGATCAATGAATCCAGAAGCTGTTTTTCTGAAAAAAATTAGTAAAATAGACTATTAGCTAGAATAATAAAGTAAAAAACAGAAAAGATTCAAATAAATACAATCAGAAATGATAAGGGGGATATTACCAATGACCCCACAGAAATACAAACAACCATCAGAGAATATTATGAACACTTCTATGCACATAAAATAGAAAATCTAGAAGTAATAGATAAATTTCTGTACACATACACACACCTAAGACTCAACCAGGAAGAAGTCAAATCCCTGATCAGACCAATAATGAGTTCTGAAATTGAGGGAGTAATAAATAGCCTATCAACCTAAAAAAGCCCAGGACCAGATGGATTCACAGCTGAATTCTACCAGGTGTACTAAGAAGATCCTGTACCATACCTACTGATGCTATTCCAAAAAATTGAAAAGGAGAGATTCCTCCCTAACTCATTACATTAGGCCAGCATCCTCCTTATACCAAATCCTGACAGAAATACAAAGATAACAAAAAAGAAAACTTCAGGCCAATATCTTTGATGAACATTGATGCAAAAATCCTTGACAAAACACTAGCAAACTGACTCCAGCAGCACATCAAAAAGCTTATCCACCATGATTAAATAGGCTTCATCCCAAGAATGCAAGGTTGGTTCAACATACACAAATCAATAAATGTGATTGATCATATAAACTGAGCTATAGAAAACAAACACATGGTTATCTCATAGATGCAGGAAAGGCTTTTGATAAAATTCAGCATCACTTCATGATAAAAAAAACTCTAAATGAACTAGGTATTGAAAGAACAAACCTTAAAATAACAAAAATATATATGATAGACTCACCACCAACATCTTACTAAATGGGGAAGAGCTGGGAGCATTCCCCTTGAAAACTGGCTCAACAAAAAGATGCCCTCTGTCATCACTCCTATTAAACAAAGTGTTGAAAGTTCTGGCCAGCACAATCAGGCAAGAGAAAGAAATAAAAGGCATTCAAATATTAAGGGAGGAAGTCAAGCTATTCCTGTTTGCAGATGACATGATCCTATATCTAGAAAACCTCATCATCTCAGCCTCAGAGCTTCTTACACTGATAAGTTCTACAAGTAGAACTGCAAATCTCTGGTAAAATAAATCATACATGACACAAACAGAAGCAAAAAACATTCCATGATCATAGGCAGGAAAATCGATAACATTACAATGACATACTACCCAAAGCAATTTATAGATTCAATGTTTTTCTCATTAAACTACCATTGACATTCTTCACAGACTGGAAGAAACTATTAAAAAATTCATATGGAACCAAAAAAGAGCCTGAATAACCAAGGCAATCCTAAGCAAAAAGAACAAAGCTGTTAAATTTATTCTTACAGGTCTTTTGCAGCTATTGTAAATGAGATTAATCTCTTGATTTCTTTGTCATGTAGTTTGTTACTGGCATATATAAATGCTACTAATTATTGTATGGTGAGTTTGTATCCTGTAACTTTACTGAATTCATTTATTAGTCTTGACCCTTTTTTTGGTGGAATCTGTAGGGTATTCTATACATATAAAGATCATGCTGTCTGCAAAGAGGGATAATTTGACTTTCTTCTTTCCAATTTACTTATTTCTTTTGCCTAATTGCTCAGGCTATGACATCTAGTACTATGTTGAAGAAAAGTGGTGAAAATAGTCATCATTGGCTTAGTCTAGATTTCAGAAGTAAAACTTTTAACATTTCCTCATTCGGTATAATGTTAGTTGTGGGTTTGTCATGTGCAGCCTTTATTGTGCTGAGATATGTTCCTCCTATAAATAATTAGTTGGGAATATTTATTATAAAGGGATGTTATAGATGTTATCATAAGGGATGTTGATTTTTATCAAATGCTTTTTCTTCTTCTATTGAGATAATCATATGGTTTTTGTCCTTCACTCTGTTGATATAATATATCATGTTTATTGATTTGCATATGTTGAATCATCTTTGCATTGCTGGGATAAACCCCACCTGATATTACTGAATGACCTTTTTGATGTTCTCTTGGATTTAGTTGGCTTGGATTTTGTTGAGGAATTTTACATGCATGTTCATCAGGTTTATTTGTCTGAAGTTATCTTTTTATGTTGCATCCCTATCTGATTTTGGTAGCAGAGTAATGCTGACCTCATATAATGGGTTTGGAAGAATTCTTTCCACTCTAATATTTTTGAATAGTTTTAGAATAATTGGTATTTTTTCTTCCTTGAATGTTTAGTAGAACTGAGTCCAGGATCTTCATCAGATCCTGGACTTTTCTCTTATGGGAGACTCTTTGTTACTGATTTAATCTCATTAATCATTATTAGTTTGTTAAAGTTTTTTTTTTTTTTTATCTTTGTGATTCAATTTTGGTAGATTACATGTGTCTAAGAATTTGTCCATATCCCCTAGGTTTTCCAATTTGTTGGTGTATGGTTGTTAATAATATTATTTAATGATCTTTTTAATTCTGTGATATCAGTTGTAACATCTCCTTTTTCGCGCCTGAATTTATTTGAGTCTTGTCTCTTTTTTCTTAATGTTGTTAAAGATTTGTCAACTTTTTAGCTCTTAAAAGCCCAACTCTTTATCTCACTGTTTTTTATATTTTTCTTATCTATTTAGTTTTTTTCTTCTCTAATCTTTATTATTTATTTCCTTCTCCTAATTTTGTGTTTGGTTTGTTGTTGTTTTTCTAGGTTCTTGAGGTACAACATTAGCTCCTTTAGTTGAAATCTTTCTACTTCTTTCATGTAGATGTTTATTACTGTAAACTTCTTTTTTTAGAACTGCTTATACTCTGTTTCATTATAGGTTTTGGTATATTGTGTTTCCATTTTCATTCATCTCAGGAATTTTTAAATTTATTTTAAAATTTATTGATTGACCCATCAGTATTTCAAGTTATGCTGGTTAATTTTCACGTATCCTGCAGATGTTGGATGGAATGTTTTTTAAATATCTGTTGGGTCCATTTAGTCTAGAGTCCATTTTAAATTCTATATTTCTTTGTTGAGTTTCTGTGTGAATGATCAATCCATTGCAGAACAGTGGGATGCTGAAGTCTCATACTATCACTGCATTGCATTCTAGCTCTCCATTTGGTCTATTAACATTTGCTTCATGTATTTAGGTGCATCAATATTGGATACATGTATTTTTACATTTATTATTTCCTCTTTCTCTATTGACCTGTGGTCTTTTCCATCTTTTTATAGTTTTTTTACTTAAAGTCCATTTTATTTGATATAAGTATAGTTACTCCTGCTACTTTTTGGTTTCCATTTGTATGGAATATTTTTTCCATCTGTCAATTTCAGTCTATTTGTGTCCTTACAGGTGAAGTAAATTTCTTGTAGATAGCATATAGTTTGGTCTTGTGTGTTTTATCTATTCAGCCACTTTATGTTTCTTAATTAGTGCCTTAGTACATAGTACCAGTCAGGCCAGGAAGAGCACTTAAGTAGTATTTTCTACTTGCACTTCATTCATTTGTTTACTGATATTTATCAAGGAGATATTCTGGCCTGAGCATGGTGCTAGGCACCTGACTAGAGTGGTAAACACAATAGGCACATCACTTACCCTCATAGCTATTACATTCTAATTAACATATGAGATCAAAAAAGCCACATTAAGAACACTAAATGATGGCATCTCTTGCGAAATCACAAGTGTTTGTGCCAAGCACTTTGTTTCTACCATGCACCCAAAATTTATAATCCACAGAGATAGAAGCTACCAATGAATTCTGGACAGGCATAGAAAGAATGACCATTTTCCATCCTTGCCAGGCTATATCCTTAAGTCACTGAAGCGGTCCTGCTTATGACCAGAATCTAATAATTCACTTTTGAACAGTCTTTTGACTTCTGATTCACAAATCCTTGTCCTTACCCTTATGCTGTCTCATATGCAAATAGTATGCTTGAGTTCTGTCCTTCATTATTTAACCACAGTTGCTCAAACCCAGCCTGAGGAGTCACACTGAAAGGAAGCCATACCATACATTCAAGCCATACCATACTCAACTTCTGTCCTTCATGTCTCTTTTACAACCAAATGCTTTTCTCCTATCTAGGAGGAAAAAAAGATATTCATGCCCAAAAATGAATGATGATTATATTCTTATGTTTAGTATCTGTTGGGGAGGAGGTAGGGGTATCTGTACTAGCTAAGTCTGATTTCCTATTCCAACAGTGGGTAATATACTAGTACACACAAATAATTAAGGTATTATTGCTTACATTTTACTGTATTAAAATATAACATAACCTTGGCACTTCACATGTTTTATTTGTCGAAGAAGTATCATATTATGGGGCCAACACCATCATGAAGGTCAGAAATATGAAATAAAACTGGATTTTTTTCTTAGTCTGTAAAGGCACGAGGGGAGAGGCAGCACAATAAGTGAGGAAAGAAGATAATCAGGGACAATCTACAGAATCTATTTCTTTGAGTAAATGTAATTGCAATGCTCTTTAGTTATATTTTGAATGCAAGAGTGCTTGGAAGGAAAATCCTACAGATTTTAACATTGGTTTGATAAGTAAGCATTAAGCATATCAAGTATGGTGGGATTATTATTTTTTCATGTTTAAAATTTTCCAAAGCCAAACAATATATCAATCCACCTGATTTTTTTCTATATGTTTTTTCATTGTTTCTTTTGGAACTGTACTTTCCAAGTACGCAGTGGTCAAATATCAGTCCTTTGCTCTTTCTTTGGGTAGATTATATTTTATATGCATGGCAACATTTGGGACATTTTTTTCCATTCCATTTTAACTTCCTAAGTAAAAGAGAATATTCTTGGAATATTTCCAATCATTGTCAATTTAAAAATGACATTATCAGAAGAACATGAATCTAGTGTTGGAAGCTCACTGCATGATGATGGAATGAGAGATGCTATTCTAGAAATGACTCATTTGACTGCTGCTTTGTCTCATACTTCAGATGCTTTTTTAAACTCTGTCCATGACTAAGAGGCCTCTTTTTCTATTCTCAAAGGCAACTTTTCTAAAATCTACAAGCATTTTGTGGGTAGGGAAAGTGCCCGGGGCCCTCTGAAGTCCTCTTAGAAACATAAGTCACACCCTAGCATATTCCATAGCAATCAAATCAATCCAGTAATTGTTTTAGCATGTACTTATTGAGCCTCTACTGTTATTGCACTGGATATTAAGCAGTGAACCAAGCAAAGTTCTTGTCCTCATGGAGCCTACATTGTAGTGTGGGATTAAAGCCAACAAATAATTGAATACATAACTGTCGAATGAAGTAAAACCCAGAAATATTCACCTGAGATGACTGTTATTCAGATATAGTGCAACTGGCAGTTGATTGCCAGTTTGCCTAATTCTGTTCTCCAATAAGGGCTGGCTAAAATTATGATTTTCAAAGAGAAGGGAAGTGGATAGAGATAAGTTAGGAAGCTACTGCTTTGTGATTGTTTGGGACCATATTATTTCAGAACAGGTTGTGTATCACTTATCCAAAAGGCTTGGGACCAAAGTGTTTTGAATTTTGATTTTCTTTTTTAATTTGGCATATTTGCATATACATAATGAGATATCTTGGTGATGAGACCCAAGTTTAAACACGAAATTCATTTATCCTTCACTTACACCTTTTATACACAGCCTGAAAGTAATTGTGTACAATATTGTAAAGAATTTGCTTATGGAACAAAGTTTTAACTGCAACCTATTTTACAAGGTCAGGTGTAGGATTTTCCACTTATGGCATCATACCAGGACTCAAAAAGTTTCACATTTTGGATTTTTAGTTTAGGTATGCTTAACCTGTATACATTTTTAACAATACAGGTACATCTAAAAATGTTTTCCTCAAATAATGTGATACCTTAATAATTGGGCATCTTATCTGTTATAATATTGTTGCAAGTTTTGATAAATAATAACAGTTAGAAATAAAAAGCAGGTAAGAGATTAGAATGTAGTGTTGCTATGGTTTGGATGTTTGTCTTTTCCCAACCTAGTGTGGAAACTTGGTCCCCTATGTTGAAGATGGGGCATAAAGGGAGGTGTTTGGGTCAGAGTGGATCCCTCATGAGTAAATTAATGCCCTTCCTTCGGGTGAGCTTTCACTCAATTAGTTCCCCCAGATTTGATTGTTAAAAAGAGCCTGGTACCTCCCTCCCCTCTTTCTCTTGCTTTCTGTCTTGCCATGTGATCTCTGTACACATCCCTCCCTGCACCTTCCTTTATAGCAACACAAAATGGGCGAAGACGAGTGTTGTGAAGGTACTAATTTTAGTTAGATGGCCAGTAATTACCCCTTTGTAAAGGTGATATTTTGAGCAGACACCCAAAAACTCAAGTAAGCAAGCTCTTTGGAAATTTGGAGAGAGTATTTTGAAGATAGAATCGACAGGGCTTATTCATGGTAGAGAGTATATTTTGAAGGCAGAATTTACAGAATTTGCTAATACTAACATATGTGATTATTATACAAAAAAAGAAAAACATATGTGTTCCAACAATCTTATTTGGACTTAAGTCTTCTGATCCTGACTTGAGCCTAACAGCTGCAATTGAGAGGCAGCAAATTGTCAGGCATAACTCTTCCCAGCCGATTTGAAAGGGAGACATCTTCTCATTGTTTTCCTTTTGATACTTAACATTCCTTTAAATGGTATAAGTAAATATTATTTAAATTAAGTGGAATACAATAACTTATATTTTGAGAATTACATAATATCTGAGGCCATGCTGGAGTATGCAAAGTCAGAGATGGAGACAGATTCTCACCTGTGAAACTCCCTATTAGCTAACTCAGGAAAACTCATCTAAAAACTTTAGAAGTTGGCATCCTGCCAAATATACATACTTCAGAAAATTACTAAGATTTTATTTTTTCTCCCTGAAGCTAATTTTAGAGTTTAATGATTCAAAAATATAAATTTGTATTTATGAAGTTTTTTTGTTATTAAAATGATGCTACTTTCTGCTCAGTGTGTCAGTACTCCTTCCATTCAGTGTAATGTACTGTAGTAAGATCTCTGACCTCCTGAAATACCAGCTATTTCTCTTCTGTCTGGATGCTCCTTATACTTCCTATATATTTCTTATAGTTTTTACTTATTTTTACCCAATTTCATAGTTAATGCACACACATCTGATCTTGAATTTTGTTAATGTAGAAAATTGGTAATATTCACTTTTTTAACCTTCAACGCAACATGAATATACTATTATATGGTGGGAAGTGGCATGGTCTTGCATGCCAAGTAGGCTGGGTTACATATCTTAGTTTTCCACTTGCTGACCATTAGAGTGATTTAGTTTACAAACACCTTTCCCAAGCCTTGATTTTGGTTATTACTTAAATAGGTTTAACAATTATATCTAACATGCAAGATAGTTGTCAAAAATAAGAAAGGTAATGCATAAATAAAAATTGTCTAGTATGCAGTGACTTCTTAATAAATATTAGCTTTATTGTTTGACTTTTAAAAGTGTTCAACAAGTGAAAATTTTGTAATCTATTAGAGAAAAAGCATACCAAATTTTCCTTAATGCTATTGGAGGCAGATTAGTGGACATGGAATTATTAATCAAAAATTTTGCTGCATAATGGGAGACCTATTTTTAGATCCATCACCAATAGGGGTTATTTTCACTACAGGATTACAGTTTACTCAGGAGAGAAAAAAGCTGTTCTATGTGAATACTGTCGCAACTTGTTTCAGTTGTGATAATTTATGAAATATATCACAACTGTCTGTTTCAAGGTGTTCTAATCTGTAAAGTACTTCTTCCATGTAGTTGTTTTAATGGTTACATTAGATACTTTAAAGTAGCAGCAGTGTTCCATGACTCCAACTTTTCCTTCAAGGTAAAATTCTTATTGCTGAGATTGCACTGGCTTGTGGTCTTTTTGTTAAAGAAGAAAAAGAATGATTTAGGTGGTTTTCTTTTTTTTTTTATATACCCTATTTATGTTGTTATCTTTTGAGCTTTTGCATTTATTCTTCAAGAGAGTGCATAAAAAAGAAAGCTATAGCTGTAGTAGGTCAAAATTACACTTTCTTAGATGGTCAGAAAACAATGCATTGCAACAATTCCACAAACCTGAATTAACACAGAGTTTATTCTGCCACAACGTTAATATTAGAGAAAGTAAACAGTCCTCAACTGTTAAGTTTGTTTTCCATTTGTATAACTCAGGACTTTCCAAATTTGTGTTTCACTATTTATATTCTATTCATCTGAATTAGGACATTCCACTCTAATGTTGTAAGATCATGTTTTTGCAAAATTATTAGCAGGGTACATGTATAAAAACAAAATCCCATAAAAGTACATCTGACATTGAGTATTTTTCAAGATAATTTTATCCATCACAGAACAATAAAATTACCTTTTAATAAAGAAAACTTGGTGATTTTCAAGGAAGGTTTTCGTGGCTCACGCCTGTAATCCCAGCACTTTGGGAGGCCGAGTCGGGTGGATCACGAGGTCAGGAGATGGAGGCCATCCTGGCTAACACGGTGAAACCCCGTCTCTACTAAAAACACAAAAAATTAGCCGGGCGTGGTGGCGGGCGCCTGTAGTCACAGCTACTAGGGAGGATGAGGCAGGAGAATGGCGTGAACCCGGTAGGTGGAGCTTGCAGTTAGCGCAGACCGCGCCACTGCACTCCAGCCTGGGCGACAGAGCGAGACTCCGTCTCAAAACAAACAACAAAAAAAAGTTCATGTGTTTTTTCTCCTTTTCAAATGTATATGTTGGATTCTACCTATTATTAGAGTCAGGATTCTGGTAGCCATTCAAAAAAAAAAAAAAAAAAAAAAGCTAATTCAAAACTATGATTCTGAAGAACTCTCTTCCAAATAGCATAGCATTAACATACATAAAATGAAAATTGAAATTAAAAACTAGGAGAAATGTGAAGAAACATAATCATAATGGAAAAACTTATTATTCTCAACATGTTCCTGATTAAGTTGAAAGCATAATTGGCACTGTAGAGAAATCTGAAAAAAATATTTAATTTAAATGGGATATAAGCAAATTTAATAGATACATGCCTTAGATGAGGTTCCTTTAAAAGCAGAGATTAAAAAATTACTTGGCTATAGTTAATTTATTTCAGAGATGATCTCAGAAAGCACAAAGAGAGAGGGAAAGTAAGAGAATGGAGACAAACAGTAGGTTGTACTAACGAGCAAGTTACCACTATGAAAATCTGGAATTCAAATGAACTGAGAACACTCTGAGAAACCCTATTGTAGCCTGCTTCAGAATATCTCACCAGACGATGGGGAAACTGGGCATAAAACCACCATCCTCCTTCCATATTGGCCGTGAGTCACCTTTCACTTTTCCCAGGGCATAAACACATCTAACTTTAGTTTGGCTCATTTGAAATGGGCAAGATCCCCAGGTTACAGCAAAAATAGTCCTGCATATAAGGGGAGAGGCAAAGATTTAAGTAGAAGTTGTGAACTTGGGGAAACTGTATCTCACAGTTGCAAGTAAATGGCAAGGTGGGCGTGGGCAAAGAGACCTTGTTTAGAACATCAATAGCTTCCGCTATAATATTCAGTTATTCAATTTGGAAAAAATAATCTGTTTTCCTGTGTTCACAAACTAACTACCCAACCGAGGCAGGTGGATCACTTTAGGTTGGGAGTTCGAGACCAGACTAGCCAACAGGGATTTAACCAGAATGTGGTTTCATCAGGCCATGGCAGTAATGGAGGGCAATGATATTCCAGATAAAAACATCAAAAACATTACAAATTTTAATCAGTTAATAATATAATGAAAACTCTTTAACAATTAATGTGAACATGAACTGTCCCTGCGTAAACTTAGCCAGTCATGGTTAATGTAGTGATTATACAGTATATGACTTATTCATAAATTATATGATTTTTGTCACATTCTACATTATTCTATTCTTGAAAATGTTGGTTCTTAATAAAAATCTTTCTACAAACTAAAGGCTATTTAATAAGCCCTAATAAACTAAAAGAGCACAACTTTTATACTCATTAAAGTAAAATTAAACTTTGTATATGTGAATCTATAAATTTAGTCAAGAAACTTTAGGGGAAAAAGAGTAACAGTATGAGCTATTAAAACATATTGTTGAGTTGAAAACATATATTCACACTAAAATCAGTACAGATGTTTAAGCAGCATTATTCATAACTACCAAAACTTGGAAACAACCAATATATCGTTTAGTAGGTGAATGGACAAACACACTGTGGTATATCCATATAACAGAATATTATTCAGCATTAAAAACAAATTAGCCATCAAGACATAAAAGGACATGGAGGAAACTTAAATACATATTACAAAGTGAAAGAAGCCTATTTGGAAAGCTACATATTCTAAGATTCCAAACTTCCATATGACATTCTGGAAAAGGCAAATCTATGGAAATAGTAAAAAAAAAAAAAATCAGAGTTTAGGGAACAGTGAGGGATGAGCTGGTGCAGCACAGAGGGTTTTTAGGACAGTGAAAACAACTTTGTATGATAGTCTGATTGTGAATGCATGTTGTTATACATTTGCCCAAACCCATAAAATGTACAACAGCAAGAGTCAACTCTAATGTAAACCGTGCACGTTGGGTGCATTTGACGTGTCACTGTAGGTTTATCAATGATAACAAATGCACCACTCAACAAAGAGATGTTGACAGTAAAAGAGGCTATGCATAAAAGCCTTCTGCATGGAATTGCTATGAACTTAACACCTCCCTAAAAACTAAAGGCAATTTTAAAAAAACTGTTATCAAAGTATACTAATCAAACTATCATGATAATAAATTACTTAAAATAAATAGAAGGAAGAATTTAAGAATATATGGATTTCTGTTCATTTATCAAGCTAATAATGAACTATTTAATAAATGGGTAGGGACAAATACTTGACCTTTTTTTTTTTCTTTTTTGAGAGGGATTCTCACTCTGTCACCCAGGCTGGAGTGCAGTGGCACCATCTCGACTCACAGCAATCTCTGCCTCCTGGGTTCACGAGATTCTGCCTCAGCCTCCGAGTAGCTGAGACTATAGGCCAAACCACCTCACCTGGCTAATTTTTGTATTTTTAGTAGGGACAGTGTTTCACCATGTTGGCCAGGCTGGTCTCGAACTCCTGACCTCAAGAGATCTGCTTGCCTCAGCCTCCCAAAGTTCTGGGATTACAGGCATGAGACACTGCATCTACCAAATACTTAACTATTTAGAGAAAAGAGAAAAAATTAGATTCATATCTGATGTTTTAAGCCATAATATTTTCTAGGTAAAAAAGCAATTACAATATTTTTAAAAAGTGGAAAAAACAAATCCATGAAACACCAGGAGGAAAGATGAATACATACTGCTTTAGTGTAATAATTAGAATATTAAATTTAATATTTAATTTTATATATTGGCTTTTCTAAGTATGGCACAAATACTAAAAACCGTAAGTAACATTATTAAAATTTTGAGAAAATGAAAATTAACAATTTGGGAGATAATGGTTGTGGCAATATAATAAACAGCTGAGATGTAAAATATATGCATACTATTCTTGAAAATTAAATAGTTAAATGAAAACCCCTTAAGTAGAAGTGGAAATCTTGAAAATATTTAACTTTATAGGGATGATAACATTCACAGCATTAATTTTAAGGGGAAAAATAGAACACAAGTTAAATTTCCTTAATGGAAAATAATTATATAAAACTGAGCAATATTCAATAATATTCAATAGCAATATAAACAATGAAGCATATCCTTACAGATTGTAATGAAAACAATTCTAACATACTGGCAAGGGAAACAGCAATGTTTAGAAAAAATTAGAAATGTATTTCTATAAAAATTATTAGTTATTGCTCAGATCAGATATATGCATACATATATACATACATAAATATTTTTCAACAATTTGCTTAAAAATATGGAAAATAATCATAAAGCAGATTGTTGCAAGTTAACGCACAAAAAGCTATAAATATATTTTAATACCTAAATATGGCAAAACCAGGGAAATGTAAATTTTCAATACAGGTGTTAGTTTCTTTCAAGCTACCTGTTGCCTCTGTATTTTGTTTCCTTTTCTCTATTGTATCATCCATAAGCCACTCTTCTTCTGTCCTTGGATTTCAATACTTGTAGATCTGTAGCTCCACCTAATATTTTTTCTGTTTCATTGTTTCTTGATTTTTTGTTTCCTAAAATGACAGCTTAAAACGTTAATTTGATTCCAATTTATCAGATGCTTCTTTTAAAAAAAACACTTTTTTTTCACTATGACAGTTGATGTTTTAACAGCCCATAGTTGATGAACATAAAGCTAATTTTGATAACTTAAAAACAGGATCAAAGCACAATTCCCCAAGCTTTTCAAGAATTAATTAGGTGACAGTGTGTGAAAATAAGAGATAAGTATTATGATTCTTCTCTTGCTTTAAAGCTGGAGATATAGTTCAGGGTAGAATGTTTTTCTTAAATTTGAGCAAGTAAAAAACCCTGTTAATTTGTTAGTACATTAATTGGCTTGAATACCACCTATAAATCTCAAATGAAATTCAAATATTTTTTAAAGCAGGTGTTTTATTATGTTATCACTAAAGACTAAACCTTAGACAAAATCTGTAGCAGAGGATAACAATTAACAATAACCCAAAATGCTTTATTTAGACTGTTCAGATAAACATTTGCTTTAATTACATTATGGTAGATAAAAAAATGTATTTCTATTTTAGAATCAAAGTAAGTTCTATAATCTATGTTTCACAGCAGGAAACAGACCTCAAAACCCATTTTAGCTTTGCAATTTTTCGCCCACAAGTTAAAATTTAAGAATATTGTGGCCTTTCCCTGCAAGGAGGTAGGAAATTTAATGCTACTCAGGAATTAGCTTTCAGCTCAAAATTCCAATCCTAGCTTAAACTATGATTGAAAAGAAATCAAAGTGTTCTAAATTCCATTTTCTACTTTCCTTCTTGTGATCTAATGCCCTAACAACAACGACAACGAAAAGTCACTAGGCAGACTTATCTGAGTTGTAAAAGTTGGGCAACTTTCTAGGAATGATTTTAGTGTTCTCTGAGGAAGCACATTCCTAGGAATAAAGCTGTTTGAACATATTTCTGTCACTAACTTTTCCCCCCTGCTCTTGAGAAACTGCTTGTTTACTAACACATTTCTGACAATTCACAAATATCCACATTTATTCTTTGAGGATATGATTCTCTCAGTTAAGAAACGACCATCGGGTGGATGGAAGGAAGTCCTGGCAGACCAGTTTTAATTCTTTTTTTTTTTTTTTTTTTTTTTTTGAGACGGAGTCTGGCTCTATCGCCCAGGCTGGAGTGCAGTGGCGCGATCTCGGCTTACTGTAAGCTCCACCTCCCAGGTTCAAGCAGTTCTCCTGCCTCAGCCTCCGGGAGTAGCTGGGACTACAGGTGCCCGCCTCCACTTCCGGCTATTTTTTTTGTATTTTTAGTAGAGACGGGGTTTCACCCTGTCAGCGAGGATGATCTCGATCTCCTGACCTCATGATCCGCCTGCCTTGACCTCCCAATGTGCTGGGATTACAGGCGTGAACCACCACGCCCAGCCTCACTTTTAATTCTTAGTCAAACTTGTTGCTCTTTTTCTGATAGCTTTGTTCATGTCTGAGAGACAATTGGAGTTTAAAATATCCTGCTTATTTCTGCCATTCTCTTACTGGAACTTAAATATGGTTTAACTAACAGTGATAAAATATGGCTAACATCCATCCCATGACATTAAAATATATAATTAAACCTGTAGAGAGTGAAGGTTTATAAAATATTCATTTTGTAGATATTTTGGTCTCAAATTAATCATTAAAAGAATAAATCTCCAACCAGGGCAATGCCCTAGTTAAAAAAAAAAAAAAAAAAAAGTCAGGCCAAGATCAGGCTTTTCTTTTCCTCCTGTTTCCTTTTCCTCTCATGGGAGTGAGTGTACAGCAACTCTGTCTCTGCTCCAATCTTGCTGCCAGGAACACAGTCTTACTGAACTAGCCTCAGCCTGCCTTTTTTCTTTTCCTGTTTTGGTTTTTGATTTCATTTTATTTGCTTGGATTTTTGTTTGTTTCAAACTGGGGCATTGCCCTAGCTAGAGATTCATTCTTTTATTGAATAACTCATAAATTAATACCTATAATTGAGGAACTCTCCTTGAGGGTGTACTCAATCCCTGGGAATGACAGATACGCCTATAAATAACTAAACTTGAGCAAAACAAGGGTGATGTGAAATATGTCCTGAGAGCCAGTAGATAGAGCAGCCTGAAAGGCTCCCAGTGGATAGATCAGGGAGCATTCAGTATGGGCAAGAAAGGGAAAAAGAGCACATCTCTGAAAAAAGACTATTTTCTCTCTTGGCAGATATAAATAGGTGTGCTGTGTTTTGGGTAATACACTTGACAAAGATTGCCCATAGTGGGAGACGCTAGAAAGAAGTAGGGAGAATAAGAGTGGAAAAAGGGTCTGGGGAGAATGGGAACTGTTTTCTTTTTTCCCCGTTATATTCTTTCCTAGGTGATTTCAGTTCCTTCCTGTATCTTCCATGGTCATCTCTATGTGAGTGATTTTCAAGTCAGCGTTTCGATGCCAGACGTTTCTCTTGAGTCCTTCTTCTCCATTCCAATTTTTCTTATCTTCTATTTTTATTCTAATTTGACCAGGGATTAGCTGTATAACTTGAGCAATTCCCTTACAAATTTTACACATTTCCTCATCGGCAAAATGGTAGTTACCACTTCATATGTTTTTATAAAAATTAAGTGAGTCAGCGGATGTAGGCGCTGAAAGTGTTTAATATGTAGTAATTGATTAACAAATGTAACCATTATTATTATTTATTTATTGTGGATCATCACATAATATTTCTGCTACCTCCAATTAGATATTAAACTCCTTAAATAAAATGAATTATCTCTATATGATCTATGAATTTTAACATAAAAGTTAGGCCAAAGTAGATATCTGATAGATTATTGATAGGTTTTATTTATGTTAATTAAGCTGTCTCTAGTATACTTTGATTTTCAGTTTTGATATGTGACTTATTTTTCAGGTTGATTTTCATCACTTCATCCATGTTTGTAGTTCACCGAATTAGGAAATAAATGATATAAATAGTAATCTCTGTGCATATTTTCGTATTGGCTGGCTCCCCATTAATGATGAGCTCCAGAGGGCAGGTATTCTAGAGGTAATCATTATACCCCCACTGTCTAAGGAAAGGCAGAGCTCACAGTAGGCATGTAATAAATGTATACAATGAAGTTCATTCAGTGACGCTGATATCGTAAAAGCAGTGACAAGTTTTTTCCCCTCAGAAAATGTAAGGTAACTGATTTGTAGATGTTAGAATTTTCTTGTATTACATTATTTTAAATATGAAATACCATTGAATAGCATGGATTTTACATCGTATTAATTTTACTTTCACTTAAAAGATCCTTTGACAAACTGTTCTCTATATTAGGTAAAAAATCAATGTCAGAGAAAGAATTATGTTTTGTTGATGTACCACCTACATCTAGGAATGTTTCTGGTAGCTCCGGGCAAATACTCAAGACAATGTGATACTATATAGTAAATCTGTGAACTTGAGCAATGCTCAAGTTTATATCTTGACATATGAGAGATGATATACTTCTCCTAATTATTTCTAGACACCTCTACTTCCCATAAAAGTGGTTTTTATCTCTGGGTGCACATCAGAATCACAAGGGAAGCTTTCAAATTAAATAAGACTGATGAAAAGGGGCTGGCATTGGTACATTTTAAAAGCTCTGCCATTGGTCCTAGTTGCAGCCAGGTCTGAGAACCACTGCAGTACACACCAGTACTCTCTCTGGCTAATCTCCAGTACAATACACCTGTGCATGTACCACCCAGTGCAATTTACGCAATAGTCCTGGGAACTCCTCTAAATTATTAAACAGGTTCCACAATAAAGGAACCTATTCAAAACCAGTTCCAACCTAAAGAAATACTGCCTCCATACTGTTTTGGACTCAAGAATGCCACTCAACACTTCTGTGGGTCTCCAGCCTGTTAGCCTACCCTGCAGATTTCAGACTGCCAGCCCTCATGATCCTGTGAGTCAATTTCCTAAAATCAGTCTCTGTGTGTGTGCATACACACCCTGTTGGTTCGGAAGAATACTCATACACCAGCTTTACATCTGTGTTTCCAAGATGAGTTTAAAAGTCAGTTTGCCATCTAGTAGTCAGATCCACAACAGGGTTTGCATTTACCCGGCACTAGTTTAAAGGAACAGACCTTTCAAGGTCTCCCTCTTCTTACAAGCACTGTTTTTTTGTTGTTGTTTGTTTGTTTTGTTTCTTTTTTTTTTTTTTCAATTTAAGCATCACCACATTACCCTTATTACCAATTTGTAAATTGTGAAAATATCAAGGATGGGCACAAGTAGGGTTAAAATGAAATAAAGTGCTTAAGTACAATATGACTACCTTGGAGCTAAAGGAAATTTTTATCATTGTTACTTCTCCCAATATACTGTTGCATATATATATACACACACATAAGTATATATATATACACATACATATATATACATATGTATATATATACACACACACACACATATATATATATATATATATATATATATATTTACTCCCATTTACTGTTTTAGGCCATTTTTACAGTGTTTGAACTAAGAATACATCTTTATTCAGTTGCCTCTGGAATAGAGGTGGTGATTTCCACTTTCAAACACCCATGCAAAGCAATGTGAGTGCTAAAACCTCCTCGGTGGACCCAGGCCATCTTCCTTGCCATCTGTTGCTCAGGTGCTCTGGGGAACCTATCTTCTTTTTTTTCTTTCATTGTTTTCCTTATTGTTCTCACTCACAGTGGCATTTACATTTTTATTAAACTACAAAATGACAATATAAATGTAAACAACTTCTTGGAGGAAAAAAAATGGTTAGTCGTAACAGTATTGCACAATCTCAATTCATCTTTATGATGTTTCTCAGCATCATTGTTCTGATGTTCTGATCATTGTTCTGACGTTTTGAGTTATGTCCCTAGTACACTTAGTGATGTGTATACTATATTGCAACAATGATGATTAAACAAAACAACATTGGTTGATCCGACTCCCGGTAGGGAGAGTCTTCTGTTTATGTGTCAGTACTCCTTTTCTTTTCTTCTTTCCCTTTCTTTCCTTTTCTTTCTTTCTTTCTTTCTTTCTTTCTTTCTTTCTTTCTTTCTTTCTTTCTTTCTTTCTTTCTTTCTTTCTCTTTCTTTCTTTCTTTCTCTTTCTTTCTTTCTTTCTTTCTTTCTTTCTTTCTTTCTTTCTTTCTTTCTTTCTTTCTTTCTTTCTTTCTTTCTCTCTCTCTCCCTCTCTTTCTCTCTCTCTTTCTTTCGTCTCATTCTGTTACTCTGTCACCCTATCTCATTTAATAATTAATTAATTTAAATTATTACACTTGTTGAAGCCCAGGGAAAAGGACAAATATATTGTTATACTGATCATACGAGGCTGCTGATGTGATTGAGTTTGACGCAGTTGAAAAATGTAATGCTGAAGTTAAGACTAAGTAAGTACAATACATTTAGTAGCATGGCTTTCTCCAACAGTTTATCCTTCAGTGTCACATACATTGGGCAGTGGCGTGATCATGGCTCACTGCAGCCTGCACCTACTGGACTCAAGTGATCCTACCACTCTCAGCCTTTCTCTGTAATCTCTTAGATTACAGGTACATACCACTGCACCTGGCTAATTTATTTTTATTATTTTTTTTTATAGAGACAAGGTTTTGCTTTGCTGCCCAGATTGGTCTTGAACTGCTGGGCTCAAGTGAGCCTCCTTCCTCAGCCTTCAAAATGCCAGGATTACAAACATAAGCCACTGTGCTCGGCCTTCCATTTTTTGTTATGCCTCATAGGCTAGAATACATATCATCATGGAATAAAATATCTACAGGATGATATACATTATGGTAGATTTCTTATCAGTATAACTCTAGTCATTCTAGCATATGGAGTTAAAATATGATTGCTTTATTCATATTGTTCTAGAAAATTGCAATAATCCCATTCAGTCTGAAATTATTAAATCATACTTCAGATCATTGCCAGGTTTCAGCTTTTTGTTTGTTGGTTGGTTGTTTTTGTTTTTTTTTTTTTCTCTTGGATCCTGACCTTTCCTATATTTTATTTTCAATTGCAATCACCCACTTGTTTGCTCATCTTTGTTCACATACAAAGAGATTAATGTGGCTGATGTACAGTGTGCACTTTGCTTCAGATCAACACATAATACATAAAACATTTATACACAATCAGAATAAAGGCAGAGCCACTTCAAAATTCTTCTTTATTAAAAACAAGCTTCTACTGGGGGAAAATGATGCACACTTTATATTACTTGTGATTCTCAAAATATTTTGGATTTAGTATAACATATACCCTTTGCATTTACTGCAGTTGGCAAACTCAGCAACCTTCAAGGCTTATTAAATTTGTTGAAACCTAAGGAAAAGGACAAAAATATTGTTGTATTGATCACACAAGGCTGCTGATGTAATTAAGTTTGACCCAATTGAAAAAAAGTAATGCTGGAGTTAAGACTAAATAGGCACAATATATATAGGAACATGGCTTTCTCGAACAGTTTAATTTTCAGTGTTACATACATTTCCTTTGGATTCATACTGTTTAGCAACCTGTGAGGACAATTTTACTAATGAACATAACTATGAATGCTTTAAAGCAACAATGGAAACATTGATACTCCTTGCCATACTCAGAAGAAGTTATAAAATTTCCTGGCCAGAAAAATGTCTTATGCTCCAATTCTCTTTAAGTTGTTACTTTCTAAAATGAGTGAAAGGAATTTGAAAGTTTTATTTGTGCATTGTATGTGTATAATGTACTATGAGAAAAATCCAGAAGGACCTGTGGTTTATTTGACCAAAAGGATATTAAGTTCCCTGAATTAAGGAAAACTGAATGTGATTTGTAACCCAAGTTTGGTCATATAAATGAATACATCGTAACGACATGAACATATATGTCATAGATTATTACAAAAATTCACTGAATTTGGAAATATATATGAAACTCTGTACTATATATTTTATGTCCATAAAAATGCATTATACTTATCAATTAGTAAGTGGTTAGACCTGTGGGAGTCAAGCTAGGTAAACTAATATCTATTTACCCTTGTCTCATATTGTAAAAAAACCCCACAAAACCACGACTCTTTCACAGCCATAATGAAGGTGGTCTTGACCATTAATGGGTGTGACCGAATTCTCTAAAGTTGGTAGTGGCATAGTAAGGATGTTTCTATGGTAAAATAGTGAATGCTTCATTAGAGACAAACAGTAATTTCAACCAGATGAATGATAATCACAATATAATTTTGATTATATTTTTGACATTGTCTGGTGGGTTTTCTGTTATTTGTGTAAGTGAGAAATAAAATATGCTGAAAAATAAGTCCTAGAAGCCATTGAAAATTAGTATTTTTCTGTTCTGTTAAAAATTTAACAACCTCGGTTATCATTACCTCCCATGGTGTCCAATAAAGTAAAGATAGTTTCCGTTTTGGTAAGAAACTGAAAACTTGACCTTATATCTGGGATATTTTTTGAATCAAAGATACCTGTGCATCAATGTTAACTATGAATGGTTTTATTATAAAATGAGCCCCAGAAGACAGCTAGAAATAAGATCAAATTCTGTGTCTACTAAGCTCATATGCATTGTCAAAACACGCTATGTCCTATAAAATGTTTTCCCCCCAAAAATAATTGAATTTAGATTTAAGCAAGTCCCCAAATCTTATAATTTAAAGAATTACAGGGGGGTAGAGGAATATTTAAATACATGCTGATGTGAAAGCCATCCTGGCTAAAATAGTGTAATAGGCACTGTATTTACCTTCCTGCCTGAAATAGGTTACTGCCTAAAGAGTTTGTAGACAGTGGTGCAGGGAGGAGTATCCCAGGCAAAGCTGAACTGGCTCCCTGAATTGACGTCCTGAAGAGACCATGATGCATAGATGTCCTAGGACAGAGTGCTGCAGAAGAAGGCCATACGGAGAGAAAGCTCTAGAGATGTCAAGGATCCAGTTGAGTACCGATCAGTGTGAATACCTGAGAAAACTACCTAAAGCTTGAAACAAGCCACCCAAAGGATTAGAGATAGTAGTGTCTGGAGCTAACACAGGGCTGAGAATAGTGCCTGTTCACATCAACCACACTGGAAACCTTCAGATTCAGGTGGTTTGGGGTAGAATACACAGAACACTCTTGCTTCAGCAGTGGGGACTTATTGATGAGCACTGCATGGATCCTACCTAGCAAATTTTAATATCAGGACCTGAAAGTATCAAACCATTTCCAAGTAACTAAACTATGTCCCAGAACAAAGCCCAAGTGGATTTATTATGAGAGAAAAATATCCAGCACTGAATGAGATAAAATATACAATGTCTGGCATACAATTCAAGATAGGCATGCAAAGAGGCAGGAACATATGACCCATAATGAGATAATACATTGGGTGCATTCAGGGTAGTGTGGCAATTACATAATTAATACCCAGTGCTGAAACAGAATTGGAAGATAAATATATTAAAATAATTATTGCAACAACTATATATGTTCAAAGTGTTAAGCAGAGGCACAAAATATGTTTTAAAAAGGCCCAAGTTGAAGTCCCAGATATAAAAACCAAAACGCGTCCGGTGAAAAATATACAGACTGGGATAAACAGCAGATTAGATGTAGACAAAGAAAAGATTAATTAATTGTAGACTTATCAGTAGAACCCACCCAAAATGAAACAAATAATTCTCGAAGGAGGTTCCTACAATGGCTTTCTCCACTTCCTTCTATTGCGTTTTAACTGATTCTAGTATAGTGCCTACTACATTAAATGTGCTTCCATAGTCTCACCAATACTTTTATTTTAGCCATCCCAATACACATGATAATAATATAAGAGTAATATAGAATACAATAATAATATAAGAATAATGAAATATAATACCCACTAATAAGATATTAAAATAATATTAATAATATTCTTTTACATCATTATTTTTAGAAACAATATCTTTTGTTAACAGGTGGCATCATTCTCCTGATTCGTACCCCCAACTCTGTGGCATTCCTGTTTTCTTTGTCAGTTCCTGTTTTCTTCACATTCCACAATCACTTTTGTTCTGTGGGGTTCTGTTCTGGTTTTTCTTGTCAACGGTCCATGCTCCATCTGGACTACTTCATCCATTTTTATGATTGCAGTTACCATTCAGTGCCCATGATCTCCCAGTTATTTTCTCCAGTGTAATCATTCAATTATTCTTTAATAATTTTCTTTTTTTAGTTATATTTTTAATTGAAGTTTGAACATAACCACTCACATAGCCACTTCAGTGCACCAAAATAAATATGTCTCATGGCCTTCTACCTGCTAAGGTCTTCCAGATTTCTTAAACTCACCAACATTAACCATTTGCCCAGACTAAACCTTAAGTGTTTTCCTCTCTCTTAGCCAGTCATTAAGTCCTTCTAGTCAACCACTTAAATATCTTTTTGATTCTCCACCTTTTCTCTTACCCTGTAACCACTACCAATTATGAGGCTCATGGCCACCATTTTTCATTGCTTAATCATTTCTAATATTGTGTTCCAATCACTTCTTCCCACTTCAGCCTTGCTCACATAAATTTTAGATGATATCATGATACTTTCTCATTAAAGCCATTCAAATGTTCTTCATTTCTCTCCAGATAAAATTCAAATTACATAAAAAAGTATAGGGTAATCATTATTGACCTCTGCTTAGCACTACAGCCTAATCTCTTTTCAATCATTTACTCCATTGGATTTCAGATAAGCGGGAGAAAACTGCATTTTTCTGGTTCATTTAGCTAAGGATTCAAAAATTCCTAGGAATGAAGTAGCTACACAAATTAGGGTAATTTACCGTGAATATTTGGCAAGATTTATTTTTTTCTTTCCTTCTTTTTTTTTTTTGCCTCCAAGGACACTCGGCTGCTAATTGCCCTCTCTATTTATTTAGGGTCCTTCAGACTTAAGAATGATAATCAATTCTTTCCTGAACACTGTTGTCTTGTACTTTTGCTTGTATCATCATTCCATAAGAACTTAACATAATAATCTCTGTACTTCCCTTTATCTGGTTCTTAAGTCAAACCTAGCACCAGCAATTGTGCATCCTCATTCTGCAGGAGAAAGCAGAATCACTTTGTACTTGTTCTCAAACAAGTTTCTGCGTTCAATGTTATAGTCCAAATTGCCTGTAGTTCTCTATTGCATGTTCTTATAGTTATAAACTTTTTGAGTAGACACCTAAAACTATTTTTAGTCATTTACCGTTTTAGTGTTTTTGTCTCACTAGTCTGTACGTATTGTCTACAAAACATAGCACATTGTCTGTCATTTAACAGCATTTGATAAACTTTGATTAATGAATGAAGAATTTTATCTGCAAAGGAACTCTGCTTTATGTTTTCTCTGTTACCTATTGGTTACTTCTTGATGATTCTTGCCTTACTGGTTTCACCCCTTTAGATATTTTAGTTCTGCTATTCATCATGCTTTACCTAAAAATACCAAGTTTATATTTTAGAGCTATAATGCTGACATCTGATAGACACTGGTGTTTCTTATTTATTTGCCACTAATGAGAACAGATTAAATGGAGACAAGGTTGCTTAGGCTGTTTGCAATGTCATGCCCTAAATTTGTATTTTTCTTTAAAACAGACAAATTTAAATGGTATGATTAAGAGGAATCATAAGATTCTTTAAGGATATTTTATAGATAAGAGAAGTTAATTGCCTTTTCAAAATCAAATGTACAGAAGAAACAAATCTGGGTTAACTCTTTCACTGTATCATTATTACATGTTCTTTATTATATTCGAGTCATCAGCAGAACCTGCAAGTGAAGACCCTCTATGGCTTTATTGAGTTCTTGGTATATTGCATTTAAAAGGGAGAAGATATTCACAAATCAATGTCAATATATTTAGAGTTTGTAATCAAACCATTTAAAAGTTTATCTTATATGTTTAAAAGTTAAAGGATCCCTTTGGAATAAACTAATACTGAAAACACATGTGGAAGATTCCATTATTTATTAGGTAATACAGAATCCTACAAGATTTATAATGAACCAAATATATATTATCTAATATTTCCAAAGTGGTTTAATCCTCTATATATGCATGTGCAATGATTCCTTATGTTGTACTCAGGATTAGATCACTAGAAATCTAATAAGCCTGTGCTTTCTAAATATCTAAGAAAACTAAAAGACATATTGCTACTTTATAAATACTAATCCAAGAGAATAGTTAGCCGACTTATTAATATAGTGACACATACAGTGACATTCAGTATATAGACTGCAAATACAATTTTAACTTTGAAAATGATTTATGGGAAATACAAAAGAGGATTATTGGTTTAACCTGCCATATGCAGTCTAGCCTAAAAATGTCTGGCTTCTTTCTGTAAGAATCATAATGAAACCCATCAGCATATAAAAGGAAGCCGTCGGGCCCTCAGGGGTATCTTGGTACCAGGTCATCCACCCTATCCTAGCTTTAGTTTTGGAAACATATTGGAACTTGCTAATTAATTGTTTTCTCTCCTGAAAACATAAGAAGGGTCTGGCCCTTCTTGGATACCCACAGCAGATTGCAAAGAACACTGAGTAGGTTTTAATTCTAAAACTCCATGCCTTTTCTCTAAAAACTGTCATCTAGTAAAAAGCGATGCATGTTTGCATCAAGAAAAACTGCTTTACACATATCACACATGGACACACTAAGTAAGAGTACATGATCTGGTACACAAAAAATCATATAAGATCATGTAACATCAATGTTTATGTTTAATTGCATATTAATGCAAAATGAGTACAAGCTACTTCAACAAAGATTATTGAATTTTAGTTGATTATTCTGTGTGGCAACAAGCATGTGGTAGTTAATAATTCCTAATTTATTTAAAAATGTTGAATTGCCCTAAATAAATGACTCAGTTTTCTGTAATTACTTTGATAATGTTTGAGTTTTTTAGGATATTCAAGTATAGATACCCTTCCCACCTTTCCTTTTGAAACAGAAATTTGTGATATGCCGTTTTAGGACTTCGTACTTTCACATTGTATGCTCAGCTCATGTAATTCTAGATTTTGGTATTCAACAGTCTTTTAAAAAGAAACATTCCCACCATATTTGTATGTCTTCACTAGTGGTACAGTTAAGCTCAGTGGCATGATTAATTGGTGATTTCATTCAGAAAATATAGCATTCTTTCTGATAATTTGCTCAGGAAGAATGATAAAGCCTCTAATACTAATTACCAGTTACTGCTCAGAACTTTCACAAGATGAAGTGTTCACAGAACCAGACTCAACAGCATTATCATCTATCATCTATGGTTTCCAAAAATGATTTAGAGCAATTTTTTTTTCAGAACCAGACAAGGCTGTCAATTTAGACTCTCATTGGCATACCTAAATTTATGATTCTTACATAATTCAGTCCTTATCCAATAAAAGTTTTAGGTAATTTTATTTTTATCCAAAATATATTTTGAAAATATTGCATAATTAGTGTTATAGATTGAAAATATTCAATAAGGTTTTCTTCCCACCTATTTAAACAGAAGCACCCAAAGGTAAATGGACTGGTTTCTGCTCCCATGAAATGACATTTTATACCACAAACACAGGATAAACAAGAGTTGGTGAATTCAACAGTTGCATTATTTATGAGACGTTTAACACAGAATGCATGAAGGAAATAAATGATCATAATGTTCATATATTTTCTTCACCATTAAAATATAAAATTTACAGTTTTAAGATTTCAAACCACATGTACAGACAAAAAGCAAAGAGATAACTTTTCTTGCTCGCCTCTCCAGTCCCTCTCTCCATAGGTAACTACTATGAATATTTTCCTGTTATATTTCAAAATACACATGCAAATAAAAGTATGAACTTATAAGCACACACGTCATGATTTTTTTTTGTTTGCCAAAAAGCATCACATCCATAGATGCTATTATGTATTTTGCTTTTCTCATGTTAGAAGAAAAACTTTAGATAAATTAAGCAGAGTTGAAGCCATATAGAAAAATTATCTGATTGACTACAACTGGCATATGCCCTATCACGCCCACCTTAACAGCCATGATGAGTTGGCTATCTGTGATTGGTTGAAACTGTTATAATACTAAATCAAGATTTAGTTCGTTTATGTATATACTAAGTAAGGTTGTAGTTCATTACGTAGGAACTCGGTGTAAGAAGACAGCCTCAGGTTGATGGCTTCCTGCTTACTTAATTTAACACTCAAATCACAAATATCTTAAGACTTCTTAAAACAAGTCCTCTACTGATGGTAAATTATATGTTATCATTTCTTGTGGGGTGCCTTGTCTATAAACATATCAATAGATTAATTTGAAATTGAGGAGGTCATTAATAAATAATTACATTTTTTATACAGGCAAATTGTCCTCAAAAAGAGCTATACTAATTTGTATGCTCAGTGAATTAGAGTATGTTATTCTTATGTTGAATAGAAGGTAAGCAAAAATACTTATTCACCTTTTTTTTCAATTAATAATCTATCACAGCAACGAAGAAACAGTACAGTATTGAAATGTCTAAAGTTGTATGATAGTTCTGATAATGATTTTTAAATATTAGAATTGTGCTATGGTTTTCACAAATGGTAATTGTTGATACTATATGGTAACTTCCAGCTGTTTTTTAGTGTCATATTAAGGATCTGAATGCTAGAATTTGCTTGGTATAACATGATCTGAATTGTAATCTTGAAAAAAACTTAAGGATAAATATAGTGTGAACACACAGAAGAATATTTTATCTTCCAGAGATGTTTTACATTGTAGTTAGTGAACTATAAATAATAATATACAATTCATGATGACTGCATGCTTCCACAAGACGCAGTTATATTTGGGTGTAGTCTATTTGCTGGGTTGGAGTTACTATCCTCATTTTACAGATGAGTATTGAAAGCATATTAGTTTGTGCTTAGGTAAAGGCAGAAAACGGCCTACTGGGTTTGAACCCAGATTTTCTTATTCAAAGACCATTTGTACTTTTACTATAATATACCACGCAACACACAACATTAACTGAGGGCACAGAGCAATATCTAGGTACTATTTGTAAGCACTTACATAAAGCATAAGATGAAGATATGTATGCATATATACATTGTATACATGTGTATAAATATGTGTGTTTGTGTGTATATATGTATATTTATTTATATATACTCTATTAATTTCGTAATAAAACTCAGGAAAAGCAAAACTTTAAGAGGCTTGACAAGTGTTTCAGTATCATTTATATTTTATTTGCCAATAGAATATAAAAGATTATCTAGCTAAATTTTTTTTTTTTTTTTTTTTTGAGACAGAGTCTCTGTTGCCCAGGCTGGAGTGCAGTGGTGCAATCTCGGCTCACTGCAAGCTCCGCCTCCTGGGTTCATACCGTTCTCCTGCCTCAGCCTCCTGGGTAGCTGGGACTACAGGCACCCGCCACCACATCCGGCTAATTTTTTTTTTTTTTGCATTTTTAGTAGAGACGGGGTTTCACTGTGTTAGCCAGGATGATCTCGATCTCCTGATCTCATGATCCGCCCACCTCAGCCTCCCAAAGTGCTGAAATTACAGGCGTGAGCCACAGCACCCGGCCTATCTAGCTAAACTTCTAAGATAGAAATATTACTAACAACTCAAAAAGGCAATTACATAGGATATTACAATTCGATTTTTTTTATAGTTTTGTTTTTCTCAGTTTCAATACTGTAATCCCCTTTAAATTGGGGGGAAATTATATATTATTGAACTTACTTTGTATTTAAGGGCTGATCCAGCAGTTTAAACTGTTAATAAAAAAAGAAAAAAACAACTTTGCTAAGCAATTCTTAATTTATAAGCTAAATTACTTTGCATGTATTCTGAAAAGTTCCTTTAAATGGCACATAGTATCATAAATGAAGCTTTTAGTATTAGATTATCAGAATAATAATGTGCAGATTTGTTTTAAATATTGAATGAGACACATTCTTATAAATATAACTATCCATAATATCTTTCTATGTTATGGTCTGGTCAACGGAATCATTTCTTTAAAATTCTTTGAATTATTTTATAGAATAAGACAAAAATTTCTCTTCTCTGGTGTTTTATAATTACATAAAAGTAAAAAACATTTTTTTCCTTTTTATTGTATATGGGATTTTATTCTGATGTGAAGGGGTGAAAATGACAAATATTCATAATTTGGTACTCTTAGATTCTCCAGATATAGCAGAAGCTAAATGAGATATCCTCGAGGGATAGTCTTTTATTTCAAGATATAAAGAATGGTATTTTAATGCAAGAAGAAGCCTGGTGGATGCACTACCTAAGGTATAGAGGTAGGAGAGCATGAAGGTTGGCTTGGAATTGGAATTGGGAGAGTGTTTGCAGTCACTTGTGGAAAGGGCCCTATAGTCAGGGTCAGTATCCAGCATTATCATCTAGAGGAATTGTAGTTGAAGCCAGGGAAATGGGACTGAGAAGTAAACATAGAATCTAGTTGACCCCCCGAAACCCCCAAACTGGTGGCAAACTTTTTTCAGTATATGCATGCATCAAATCAGAATCAAAGTTCAGGAAAAGGAAGTGGCTGAGAAAATGAACAAGGCTGGAGAAGAGGTAGGCATGGTAATTTAAACAAGCTAGGAGGTTACCATAAAGAGGTTGGCTTTTGAGTATTTTTCATAGCTTCCTACTCAGCATCTTTTCTGTCATATTTCTATTACAAAACCTAAACATGCATGTACAGGTGCTATGTCAGATCCGCTGCAGTAAGAAAACAATATTTTATTGTCTGTATTTCAAATCAGAAAATGTTATCATGTGGGAGGGCATCTAATCCACCTATCCTCTTGCTGATGATCTTGTATTTTCACATGTGATGTCCCAACATTCAGCTTGACACATGCAGAGACTGGAAAAGCAGACTGAAAGCACAGGGCTAAATGCTTCATAGGGAATAATGTCTCAGCTTGCTTAACCCTCAAATGACTCTGAGATTTAGACTAGTTCTTACTTTTAGATATGACAATGAATACATGTAGAGGTATTTAGTTTATTTGTATTTATATGTTTTTAAAATTAAAATATAAATTCAACAAATGCAGAGATAGTGCTTTATATTCTTAAAGCCCTTGCTTATTCTCTACCTTTACTGTTCTGTATTCCAAGGCCTCTTCTAGGTAAATCCTACTCTGCATTTAATATTTAAGAAATAGTATATACTCTTTGAAGGTATTACTAGGATATCAAGATTTATTGTCTGACATCCTTTATTCTGAATGTTTTTGACTTATATTTCAGTAGCTAGGTTAGTCATCACCCAACAACACTAGTTTTTTTGTGCCTATTAATATGATTAATACTGTTGAAATGTTGCCAGTGGAAATTTGTTTCTGGGGGGTTTGTTGGTTTGTTGGTTGTTTAGTTCAGTATTTTTGTCTCAAAATCAAAGAGGTTTACTAAGAAAACATTAAATGCAGCATTTCAGATTCTGGAGTATACACCATAAAAGAACAAAATATATTGATAAGAAAAATGCATTTTGATTATTTTCTGAATGCTAGAATGAATTATTCACTATTTCTATTGTGGGCTTAGTGTTAGGATAAGAAAGGAAACCAGAATCTAGATTCCTGTAACAAAATTGGAACATAAGCATTATACAGCAAACCTTCCTAGGTGAATTCAGGATGGGACAAATACTGTACTCTAACCTTGGCCTGTATCTGCCCTCTAGGGTCCTATTATCTCTGAAGTTTCCCTGAGTTAGTTTCTGGCTATGGGTCAAGGTAACGTGCAGGCCAAACATGTGGATAATTAAGTTTACTTCAGAGACAACTTAACACAATGGCATTTACACTCGTCTTTGGTTTTAAGAGGCACTCATAAAATGCAGTTTCAAAGGTACTTAAAATAGGTATGTAATCATTTTTCAAACTTACCCTCATTCAAGGATATCCTTGAATATAACTGTCTTAATCAGAGTATTATTCTGTCTAATAAAAGGGTATGCAAAAATGGAAAGACAAAAATATCTCTTTATTTCTAATATACAACATTTTTAAGACACTAATAAACTATTTAGTCATATCAATACTTAAAATACATTTATTCACAATTGGTATAACTATTCAGATATAACTGCATTTTTCGATATCCTGGAATATGTTGTGATATCTTGCCTTCTTTCAAAATAGAGAACAGAGACCTATCTTGAGAGATATAGCTAAAGCTGTGTAATTTCAAGTGTTTAGAAACAATCAGATAATCATTAAACATAGTTAGATAAATAGGTAATAGATAGATGTGTACATGCACACACTTTGTATTTGGCTTTTCACTTAATATAGATGTCAACTCAGAATCGGAGCTAAAAATAATATAGGTTTTCTCCGTGAAAATCATCCTGAACCAAGCTGTGTATATTTAATTTTGGATCTTTGGTAGTATCACACATGTTTCATGAGCTTCTGAATGAATTCATTTTTACAATATTTACTACTTAAAATGAATTCTGAATGAATTCTTTTTTACAATATTTGTTTAAATTTTAATGTGCCACAGTATGAACTCAAACTGTTTTGTTTTTTATTTTTTTATTTTTTTTTGAGACGGAGTCTTACTCTGTCTCCCAGGCTGGAGTGCAGTGGTGCGATCTCGGCTCACTGCAACCTCCACCTCCCAGGTTCAAGGGATTCTCCTGCCTCAGGTTCCCGAGTAGCTTGGACTACAGGCTCATGCCACCACACCTGGCTAATTTTTTGTATTCTTAGTAGAGATGGGGTTTCACTGTGTTAGCCAGGATGGCCTCGATCTCCTGACCTCGTGATCCACCCACCTTGGCCTCCCAAAGTGCTGGGATTACAGGTGTGAGCCACCACGCTTGGCCCCAAACTGTTTTATTTTAGAGGAAGAGGGAATGCGACACACATAGGCCAGGGCAGTGTGGCATAATGAAAAGAGCATGGGCTCTAGGTTCAGAAAACCCATATTTAGACCCGAGTTGTGCTCATTCCTGAGAACTTCCTGGCCTATCATGCCATTGTAGCTCTCTGAAATCTCCTTTGCAATTCTCTATGTAAATGTTAGAGTTAGCTTATATGGTATGTCAGGATCATACTATATATATATATATATATATATATATATAGTTCTTACCCCTTCTTCCATGTATCTAATTCTTAAAATATAATTTTCACATGTTTTATTCATATTTGAGAGACCTGGAAGAACATTTGTGTGTCAGAGGATTAGAGGTGATAGGTGATATGGGAGATTGCTTAGCTGGATAATCGGAACCAGTCTCTTTTTTAGTGTCAATAGCATTGATGTGAGCTCACACAAGACAAAAATAGATTCTACAGTAACACATATACCTTATCAAACAACTAGGAAAGTGCCAGTGCTTGAAAAGAAAACCTGGTAGCAGAAAGTGTGTACTTCTTTTAAGTGACCATATCAAGACTATACAATAGAACTACTGAAAATTGCAATGAATTTGAACAATGTACCAGTAAAAAAAAATTGTACAACATTTGATGTCTTTGATAATTTGCCTTTAGTACCAAAAGAGTTCTGATCATTTAACTCTGTAGGTAAATGCCGGAGAGGGCTCAACTACACTGGTATTAGGCTATTAGGTGCGTTCCTGAAGATTTCAGGGCTGTCAAACTCAGCAGATGCCTGTAGCCTATTTCTAACTTTGCTCTACTTGTTGTCTTAAGCCATCTCCTAAGAGTGAGTGTAATCTGTTATCCAAAGTGACAGTGCCTCTCATCACTGACCATTTTTTTTATTCCTTCAGACTCTTTGAGACCTTGATAAACTTTTCTCATGTATAAACGAGCCTGGGAAATAATTATATGTTATGATTGCACTGAGCTGAGCTGTCCATTCACTCTTAGCTTGTCTCAGGTTTCATTCCTCTTCTGGCAGCCTAACTGGATTTTCCAGATTACATTAGAAGTCATTACCTACATTATGCATGTAGCTTGATATTATAGAACACTATTGCATATCCCCTTAGTTCCTCAGAAGGATTTTCTAAATAAGTAAAGGTTAAAATAAAAAAAATGCTTTAAGCCATGTTTTAATGCGTGTCTTTTTTATTTTATTTGTTTATATGTTCCCAGAGTCCTCAGAAATACCTACACTCAAAATGATTGGCTTACCTGGTGATGTTATGAAGTCCTCATTAATGTATTTTGAGGGTGTTGGAAGTGAAAACGAACACTGTAATGTTCTTCTGGCACAACTGAACACTTACTGTCCTCAGAAAAAAAATTAGTGAAAAAAACAGAATCTATGACCCAAGGGTTCTCGTATTCACCTTTTCTTAAAATGAGAAGCCTGAAAGACAAATGAAATGTTGCCATCAAAGAAGATAATTAAAATTTGTAGTGATAGTCCTAATAGGTATCTCAGGTCTTTAAGATTAATATAAAAATCTATACAATTTTATTATTCCTATCATATATTTCGTTTTGTATAGGACGTTTTAACTAAAGTATTCTATCTTTTCTTCATGTCCCTTTTTAGTTTTAGTTCTTTAAAAATTGTATTCACCTGTTATTTTGCATATATCTTCCTCACCACCATATTTTGACCTCTCATTTTAGACAGGGCAATCTTTCTAATAACTCCAATACATATGGATAGACACTGCATTGTAGGTGTACTCTTTGTATTTTATTGCCTGTTGTCATGAGTCTCCTATGATTTGTTATGTTAAATTCTGTCCAGCTTAGGTTTCTGGGGTACTTGCAAATCCGCATTTGTTTCTGATGGAACCAACATTGTACAAAATAGTAAAAAGAATCCTAAAGTCCTGTAATAGCAGGTAGTGGTACCATTCTGTACTGGAACATTGACAGAATAGGCAGCAAGCCAAGCTTTGGATGTAAAATGAGGTTTTACAATGAGAATGAGGTGATTGGTGACATTTTTGAGATTGTCTCTATACTTAAAAATATTTAGAATTATTTTTACTCAATTTAAAGGCAACCTTTAATGAGAATAATTACCTCAATCAATGCCTAGATCTATCTATAAATTTGATTACAAATATTATATTAAGCATATTCATTAGCACACATTGGGATTAAATATAAAGTATGAGATTTAGCTTATGATTGTCTACTTAAGATGATAGAATCAAACCTGATAAAAGAATTGAAAATTCTGTTTAATTAACAATTAATTCTTTCTTACTTATTCCTGAATAGGGTGGCTTCTTAATCTCAGTAGAATGAAAAATTAAGAAATGTATCAGCAACTGAATTTATTGTTTTCAATTTTGAAGTTTGTTCTCCTAAGTACACAACAAAGAGGTCTGAGTATATTGGCTTTCTTATAAATTACTTTTCCAACTATTGTGGGACCTTCAGGAAAATATTTTAGACATTAGTAATCATGATTATTAATATATTTTGAGAGATTTGCATCAGACAGAAACTGAGGATATAAATACATTTCCGTAGTTAATCATTGCCCTTTCACCATTCAGATGTCTGCAATAACTAGTAAGAAGTTCTACACTTTGAAATGTTTACTTAATCAAAAATTCTCAAGTTTCCTACTGAAAAAAATTGTGTTTTTGTCTGCTGCAGTAATTATTCACGGGCCCCATATTTTTATAAATTGGAAATGATTTTGCAGGTATAAACTCATCCTGTAACACACATTTTCCCAGGATATGGAAGAACAAATATTTTTAAAGAATTGTACTTTGAAAATATAGGTGAATCTTGATTTATTTTTCACAGATGAGATATTTATTACAGAGTGATGTTAGTGTAAAAAAAATCTAACCTACTCTGTAAGTTTTTGCGCTTAGTCTTGTGAAAAATGCAGTTCCATGTTTGATTTCTGACAACTGAGAAGGTTAGAACTAGCTTAGCCAGGTCATTAGATGCCTATGGAATTACGATCCCCCTGTCTCCTTTTTCACTTTGTATTTTAGTTTCTTAATTATTTTAAACTGTTGTTTTTTCTTTAAGATCAATTTTATCAAGTAATATGTATCCAGATTTAGATGTTGAATAGTACCATAAAATTCATAATGAAACAGATTAACAACCCTCTGTCTCTTTCTCCCCCAAATTATTCACACAACCCAGTGTTAACCAGTTTTATCCTAGCTCTTCCTTGGAAGCTACTGTGTGTGTGACTCTTGATTTTTCAATGGTTGATATTATTTGCAGACTTTCAGCTGTGAAAAACAAGGATTTAGACTCCTTACACTTATACTCCACACTTTATACTCCACTATAAAAACCCTCCCAACACACTTTCCCTTACTCCAATCCTCTGATGCTCTAATGTAACAAGTTGTAAATTTATAATATTTTAATTATGTGAACATAATTCTAATCTTAATTCTATGGTTTTAATGACTATTTTAAAAAATTATTTCACAACTATTTTTTAAGTCCTGAAGTTAGAAAAATATTGCATTATTTTTTCTTCGGTTTAGTTTGCAGGGAATCTATTTTGTTCCCACACTTTACAATCATTTATATTTTGTTTTGCTGATACCATTTTCTTGTTTCCGCCTATTTGATTCTATTGCTCATTAAGCCTGAAGCATTTCTGGAGACGTAGGATCTCATGTCAGCATAGTCTAAACAATACTTTTTTATTTCTCTTTTTTGTTGAATGATTTCCTCAAAGGGCTTATTAAGGAAGCATCCCTGGGACTTAAACGTTCTATGATATTACATTTCTATCATGCCTTTATTCAACTCTTACCCTTGAGTATAAATTGCCTGGATATAGAATTCTCAGTTGAAAATAATTTCCCCATAGAGTTTTTAAATCATTTCTCTACAGTTGTCTCATAGATACTTGTTGCTATTAACAATACTTAATGATTTCTCACTTTATGGTTTATATGAAAACGTTTACTACACTTACCAATGCCTCCAGAAAGTATGGAGTTATTTCATATCCATTTTGTTGTTTAATATCATAATTGTTACTTGATTTGTATTGTTATTATAATCATTATTATTATTCATTGTGTTTGACACTTCTTTATGCCTTTGAACTTGCAACATTACATTCTCTTCAGTTTTTGAAATTATTTCTTTGACCATTTTATGACTTCTGTTTTATCTGTCTCTCTGTATTTCTGTTAGCAGTCGCTGTGATACAAACTACCCCAGAATGTAGACCTTTACAATGCTCATTTATTTTCTCACTTTTCTGCTTCTTACTGTGGTTTGATTGCTTCACAAGTCTTAGCTGAGTGGTGCTGCTTCACACTACAGGTCTGTGTGAGTCAGTTCGAGAGACTCAGCACCATATATGTCTCTCAGAGTAGTAAATTAGCTAGGTATGTTCTTCACATGGCAATGGCAGATGTACAATAGGGCAACTGGAAACAATAAAGCCTCTTAAGACACAGGCTTAATATTAGCACACTTTTGCTTTCATTTATGTAACATTAGAAAAGAAACATATTCCACCCATGATGAGACCATCGCAAGTATGCGCATGTTGATGAGGCTCAACAATTGAGACCAATAATGCAATCCACCACATGCTAGAACTCTTTTTCATTGGATCTCACATTCCCTCTTTGATCATATTTATCTTCCCGTTTTTATGATACCACAGTTTGGGAGATTCACTTTGACTTTCTCTTCTAACCTTTCACATAGATTTTCTTCTATCATTTTAAAAACATTTCTCTAGAACCCTCATTCTCTGAATGTTTTCTTTTTAGAACTTATTTTTATCTTATTAAATAAACTTTTTGTTTCTCTGAGAATGTTTTATATATATATATATACACATATCTATCTCTCTATATATTTGAGAAACTGCTTTGCTCATAAACATGATTTTTTTTCTAGGTTTCTTTATTTTGTTTGTTCCTACTGGTGTGTTTCTGTGTGTGTGTTCGTGTGAGTGTGTGTATGTCAATGTGCTTCTCAACTACATGGTGTTATTTATTAGTTCATTCATTTTTAAGACT